>NC_000007.14:58356142-58556279 GCF_000001405.40 Homo sapiens
ATCATTCTCAGAAAATTCTTTGTGATGTGTGCGTTCAACTCACATAGTTTAACCTTTCTTTTCATAGAGCAGTTTGGAAACACTCTGTTTGTAAAGTCTGCAAGTGGATATATGGACCGCATTGAGGCCTTCGTTGGAAACGGGATTTCTTCATTTCATGCTAGACAGAAGAATTCTCAGTAACTTCTTTGTGCTGTGTGTATTCAACTCACAGAGTGGAACGTCCCTTTGCACAGAGCAGATTTGAAACACTCTTTTTGTGGAGTTTGCAAGTGGAGATTTCAAGCGATTTGATGCCAACAGTAGAAAAGGAAATATCTTCAAATAAAAACTAGACAGAATCATTCTCAGAAACTACTTTGTGATGTGTGCCTTCAACTCACAGAGTTTAACCTTTCTTTTCTTAGAGCAGTTTAGAAACACTCTGCTTGTTATGTCTGCAAGTGGATATTTGGACCTCTTTGAGGCCTTCGTTGCAAACGGGGTTTCTTCCTTTCATGCTAGACTAAGAAGAGTTCTCAGTAACTTTTTTGTGTTGTGTGTATTCAACTCACAGAGTTGAACCTTGCTTTAGAGAGAGCAGATTTGAAACACTCTTGCTGTGGCATTTTCAGGTGGAGATTTCAAGCGATTTGAGGACAATTGCAGAAAAGGAAATATCTTCGTATAATAACCAGACAGAATCATTCTCAGAAAGTGCTTTGTGATGTGTGCGTTCAACTCACAGAGTTTAACCTTTCTTTTCATAGAGGAGTTTGGAAACACACTGTTTGTAAAGTCTGCAATTGGATATATGGACCTGTTTGAGGCCTTCGTTGGAAACGGGATTTCTTCATTGAATGCTAGACGGAAGAATTCTCAGTAAATTCTTTGTGTTGTGTGCATTCAACTCACAGAGTGGAACGTCCCTTTAGACAGAGCAGATTTGAAACACTCTTTTTGCGGAATTTGCAAGTGGAGATTTCTAGCCATTTGTTGCCAACAGTAGAAAGGGAAATATCTTCAAATAAAAACCAGACAGAATCATTCTCAGAAAATTCTTTGTGATGTGTGCTTTCAACTCACATAGTTTAACCTTTCTTTTCATAGAGCAGTTTGGAAACACTCTGTTTGTAAAGTCTGCAAGTGGATATATGGACCGCATTGAGGCCTTCGTTGGAAACGGGATTTCTTCATTTCATGCTAGACAGATTCTCAGCAACTTTTTTGTGTTGTGTGTATTCAACTCACAGAGTTGAACCTTGCTTTAGAGAGAGCAGATTTGAAACACTCTTGCTGTGGCATTTTCAGGTGGAGATTTCAAGCGATTTGAGGACAATTGCAGAAAAGGAAATATCTTCGTATAATAACCAGACAGAATCATTCTCAGAAAGTGCTTTGTGATGTGTGCGTTCAACTCACAGAGTTTAACCTTTCTTTTCATAGAGGAGTTTGGAAACACACTGTTTGTAAAGTCTGCAATTGGATATATGGACCTGTTTGAGGCCTTCGTTGGAAACGGGATTTCTTCATTGAATGCTAGACGGAAGAATTCTCAGTAAATTCTTTGTGTTGTGTGCATTCAACTCACAGAGTGGAACGTCCCTTTAGACAGAGCAGATTTGAAACACTCTTTTTGCGGAATTTGCAAGTGGAGATTTCTAGCCATTTGATGCCAACAGTAGAAAGGGAAATATCTTCAAATAAAAACCAGACAGAATCATTCTCAGAAAATTCTTTGTGATGTGTGCCTTCAACTCACATAGTTTAACCTTTCTTTTCATAGAGCAGTTTGGAAACACTCTGTTTGTAAAGTCTGCAAGTGGATATATGGACCGCATTGAGGCCTTCGTTGGAAACGGGATTTCTTCATTTCATGCTAGACAGAAGAATTCTCAGTAACTTCTCTGTGCTGTGTGTATTCAACTCACAGACTGGAACGTCCGTTTGCACAGAGCAGATTTGAAACACTCTTTTTGTGGAATTTGCAAGTGGAGATTTCAAGCGATTTGATGCCAACAGTAGAAAAGGAAATATCTTCAAATAAAAACTAGACAGAATCATTCTCAGAAACTACTTTGTGATGTGTGCCTTCAACTCACAGAGTTTAACCTTTCTTTTCTTAGAGCAGTTTAGAAACACTCTGCTTGTTATGTCTGCAAGTGGATATTTGGACCTCTTTGAGGCCTTCGTTGCAAACGGGGTTTCTTCCTTTCATGCTAGACTAAGAAGAGTTCTCAGTAACTTTTTCGTGTTGTGTGTATTCAACTCACAGAGTTGAACCTTGCTTTAGAGAGAGCAGATTTGAAACACTCTTGCTGTGGCATTTTCAGGTGGAGATTTCAAGCGATTTGAGGACAATTGCAGAAAAGGAAATATCTTCGTATAATAACCAGACAGAATCATTCTCAGAAAGTGCTTTGTGATATGTGCGTTCAACTCACAGAGTTTAACCTTTCTTTTCATAGAGGAGTTTGGAAACACACTGTTTGTAAAGTCTGCAATTGGATATATGGACCTGTTTGAGGCCTTCGTTGGAAACGGGATTTCTTCATTGAATGCTAGACGGAAGAATTCTCAGTAAATTCTTTGTGTTGTGTGCATTCAACTCACAGAGTGGAACGTCCCTTTAGACAGAGCAGATTTGAAACACTCTTTTTGCGGAATTTGCAAGTGGAGATTTCTAGCCATTTGATGCCAACAGTAGAAAGGGAAATATCTTCAAATAAAAACCAGACAGAATCATTCTCAGAAAATTCTTTGTGATGTGTGCGTTCAACTCACATAGTTTAACCTTTCTTTTTATAGAGCAGTTTGGAAACACTCTGTTTGTAAAGTCTGCAAGTGGATATATGGACCGCATTGAGGCCTTCGTTGGAAACGGGATTTCTTCATTTCATGCTAGACAGAAGAATTCTCAGTAACTTCTTTGTGCTGTGTGTATTCAACTCACAGAGTGGAACGTCCCTTTGCACAGAGCAGATTTGAAACACTCTTTTTGTGGAGTTTGCAAGTGGAGATTTCAAGCGATTTGATGCCAACAGTAGAAAAGGAAATATCTTCAAATAAAAACTAGACAGAATCATTCTCAGAAACTACTTTGTGATGTGTGCCTTCAACTCACAGAGTTTAACCTTTCTTTTCTTAGAGCAGTTTAGAAACACTCTGCTTGTTATGTCTGCAAGTGGATATTTGGACCTCTTTGAGGCCTTCGTTGCAAACGGGGTTTCTTCCTTTCATGCTAGACTAAGAAGAGTTCTCAGTAACTTTTTTGTGTTGTGTGTATTCAACTCACAGAGTTGAACCTTGCTTTAGAGAGAGCAGATTTGAAACACTCTTGCTGTGGCATTTTCAGGTGGAGATTTCAAGCGATTTGAGGACAATTGCAGAAAAGGAAATATCTTCGTATAATAACCAGACAGAATCATTCTCAGAAAGTGCTTTGTGATGTGTGCGTTCAACTCACAGAGTTTAACCTTTCTTTTCATAGAGGAGTTTGGAAACACACTGTTTGTAAAGTCTGCAATTGGATATATGGACCTGTTTGAGGCCTTCGTTGGAAACGGGATTTCTTCATTGAATGCTAGACGGAAGAATTCTCAGTAAATTCTTTGTGTTGTGTGCATTCAACTCACAGAGTGGAACGTCCCTTTAGACAGAGCAGATTTGAAACACTCTTTTTGCGGAATTTGCAAGTGGAGATTTCTAGCCATTTGATGCCAACAGTAGAAAGGGAAATATCTTCAAATAAAAACCAGACAGAATCATTCTCAGAAAATTCTTTGTGATGTGTGCGTTCAACTCACATAGTTTAACCTTTCTTTTCATAGAGCAGTTTGGAAACACTCTGTTTGTAAAGTCTGCAAGTGGATATATGGACCGCATTGAGGCCTTCGTTGGAAACGGGATTTCTTGATTTCATGCTAGACAGAAGAATTCTCAGTAACTTCTTTGTGCTGTGTGTATTCAACTCACAGAGTGGAACGTCCCTTTGCACAGAGCAGATTTGAAACACTCTTTTTGTGGAGTTTGCAAGTGGAGATTTCAAGCGATTTGATGCCAACAGTAGAAAAGGAAATATCTTCAAATAAAAACTAGACAGAATCATTCTCAGAAACTACTTTGTGATGTGTGCCTTCAACTCACAGAGTTTAACCTTTCTTTTCTTAGAGCAGTTTAGAAACACTCTGCTTGTTATGTCTGCAAGTGGATATTTGGACCTCTTTGAGGCCTTCGTTGCAAACGAGGTTTCTTCCTTTCATGCTAGACTAAGAAGAGTTCTCAGTAACTTTTTTGTGTTGTGTGTATTCAACTCACAGAGTTGAACCTTGCTTTAGAGAGAGCAGATTTGAAACACTCTTGCTGTGGCATTTTCAGGTGGAGATTTCAAGCGATTTGAGGACAATTGCGGAAAAGGAAATATCTTCGTATAATAACCAGACAGAATCATTCTCAGAAAGTGCTTTGTGATGTGTGCGTTCCACTCACGGAGTTTAACCTTTCTTTTCATAGAGGAGTTTGGAAACACACTGTTTGTAAAGTCTGCAAGTGGATATATGGACCTGTTTGAGGCCTTCGTTGGAAACGGGATTTCTTCATTGAATGCTAGACGGAAGAATTCTCAGTAAATTCTTTGTGTTGTGTGCATTCAACTCACAGAGTGGAACGTCCCTTTAGACAGAGCAGATTTGAAACACTCTTTTTGCGGAATTTGCAAGTGGAGATTTCTAGCCATTTGATGCCAACAGTAGAAAGGGAAATATCTTCAAATAAAAACCAGACAGAATCATTCTCAGAAAATTCTTTGTAATGTGTGCGTTCAACTCACATAGTTTAACCTTTCTTTTCATAGAGCAGTTTTGAAACACTCTGTTTGTAAAGTCTGAAAGTGGATATATGGACCGCATTGAGGCCTTCGTTGGAAACGGGATTTCTTCATTTCATGCTAGACAGAAGAATTCTCAGTAACTTCTTTGTGCTGTGTGTATTCAACTCACAGAGTGGAACGTCCCTTTACACAGAGCAGATTTGAAACACTCTTTTTGTGGAGTTTGCAAGTGGAGATTTCAAGCGATTTGATGCCAACAGTAGAAAAGGAAATATCTTCAAATAAAAACTAGACAGAATCATTCTCAGAAACTACTTTGTGATGTGTGCCTTCAACTCACAGAGTTTAACCTTTCTTTTCTTAGAGCAGTTTAGAAACACTCTGCTTGTTATGTCTGCAAGTGGATATTTGGACCTCTTTGAGGCCTTCGTTGCAAACGGGGTTTCTTCCTTTCATGCTAGACTAAGAAGAGTTCTCAGTAACTTTTTTGTGTTGTGTGTATTCAACTCACAGAGTTGAACCTTGCTTTAGAGAGAGCAGATTTGAAACACTCTTGCTGTGGCATTTTCAGGTGGAGATTTCAAGCGATTTGAGGACAATTGCAGAAAAGGAAATATCTTCGTATAATAACCAGACAGAATCATTCTCAGAAAGTGCTTTGTGATGTGTGCGTTCAACTCACAGAGTTTAACCTTTCTTTCCATAGAGGAGTTTGGAAACACACTGTTTGTAAAGTCTGCAATTGGATATATGGACCTGTTTGAGGCCTTCGTTGGAAACGGGATTTCTTCATTGAATGCTAGACGGAAGAATTCTCAGTAAATTCTTTGTGTTGTGTGCATTCAACTGACAGAGTGGAACGTCCCTTTAGACAGAGCAGATTTGAAACACTCCTTTTGCGGAATTTGCAAGTGGAGATTTCTAGCCATTTGATGCCAACAGTAGAAAGGGAAACATCTTCAAATAAAAACCAGACAGAATCATTCTCAGAAAATTCTTTGTGATGTGTGCGTTCAACTCACATAGTTTAACCTTTCTTTTCATAGAGCAGTTTGGAAACACTCTGTTTGTAAAGTCTGCAAGTGGATATATGGACCGCATTGAGGCCTTCGTTGGAAACGGGATTTCTTCATTTCATGCTAGACAGAAGAATTCTCAGCAACTTCTTTGTGCTGTGTGTATTCAACTCACAGAGTGGAACGTCCCTTTACACAGAGCAGATTTGAAACACTCTTTTTGTGGAGTTTGCAAGTGAAGATTTCAAGCGATTTGATGCCAACAGTAGAAAAGGAAATATCTTCAAATAAAAACTAGACAGAATCATTCTCAGAAACTACTTTGTGATGTGTGCCTTCAACTCACAGAGTTTAACCTTTCTTTTCTTAGAGCAGTTTAGAAACACTCTGCTTGTTATGTCTGCAAGTGGATATTTGGACCTCTTTGAGGCCTTCGTTGCAAACGGGGTTTCTTCCTTTCATGCTAGACTAAGAAGAGTTCTCAGTAACTTTTTTGTGTTGTGTGTATTCAACTCACAGAGTTGAACCTTGCTTTAGAGAGAGCAGATTTGAAACACTCTTGCTGTGGCATTTTCAGGTGGAGATTTCAAGCGATTTGAGGACAATTGCAGAAAAGGAAATATCTTCGTATAATAACCAGACAGAAATCATTCTCAGAAAGTGCTTTGTGATGTGTGCGTTCAACTCACAGAGTTTAACCTTTCTTTTCATAGAGGAGTTTGGAAACACACTGTTTGTAAAGTCTGCAATTGGATATATGGACCTGTTTGAGACCTTCGTTGGAAACGGGATTTCTTCATTGAATGCTAGGCGGAAGAATTCTCAGTAAATTCTTTGTGTTGTGTGCATTCAACTGACAGAGTGGAACGTCCCTTTAGACAGAGCAGATTTGAAACACTCTTTTTGCGGAATTTGCAAGTGGAGATTTCTAGCCATTTCATGCCAACAGTAGAAAGGGAAATATCTTCAAATAAAAACCAGACAGAATCATTCTCAGAAAATTCTTTGTGATGTGTGCGTTCAACTCACATAGTTTAACCTTTCTTTTCATAGAGCAGTTTGGAAACACTCTGTTTGTAAAGTCTGCAAGTGGATATATGGACCGCATTGAGGCCTTCGTTGGAAACGGGATTTCTTCATTTCATGCTAGACAGAAGCATTCTCAGTAACTTCTTTGTGCTGTGTGTATTCAACTCACAGAGTGGAACGTCCCTTTGCACAGAGCGGATTTGAAACACTCTTTTTGTGGAGTTTGCAAGTGGAGATTTCAAGCGATTTGATGCCAACAGTAGAAAAGGAAATATCTTCAAATAAAAACTAGACAGAAGCATTCTCAAAAACTACTTTGTGATGTGTGCCTTCAACTCACAGAGTTTAACCTTTCTTTTCTTAGAGCAGTTTAGAAACACTCTGCTTGTTATGTCTGCAAGTGGATATTTGGACCTCTTTGAGGCCTTCGTTGCAAACGGGGTTTCTTCCTTTCATGCTAGACTAAGAAGAGTTCTCAGTAACTTTTTTGTGTTGTGTGTATTCAACTCACAGAGTTGAACCTTGCTTTAGAGAGAGCAGATTTGAAACACTCTTGATGTGGCATTTTCAGGTGGAGATTTCAAGCGATTTGAGGACAATTGCAGAAAAGGAAATATCTTCGTATAATAACCAGACAGAATCATTCTCAGAAAGTGCTTTGTGATGTGTGCGTTCAACTCACAGAGTTTAACCTTTCTTTTCATAGAGGAGTTTGGAAACACACTGTTTGTAAAGTCTGCAATTGGATATATGGACCTGTTTGAGGCCTTCTTTGGAAACGGGATTTCTTCATTGAATGCTAGACGGAAGAATTCTCAGTAAATTCTTTGTGTTGTGTGCATTCAACTCACAGAGTGGAACGTCCCTTTAGACAGAGCAGATTTGAAACACTCTTTTTGCGGAATTTGCAAGTGGAGATTTCTAGCCATTTGATGCCAACAGTAGAAAGGGAAATATCTTCAAATAAAAACCAGACAGAATCATTCTCAGAAAATTCTTTGTGATGTGTGCGTTCAACTCACATAGTTTAACCTTTCTTTTCATAGAGCAGTTTGGAAACACTCTGTTTGTAAAGTCTGCAAGTGGATATATGGACCGCATTGAGGCCTTCGTTGGAAACGGGATTTCCTTCATTTCATGCTAGACAGAAGAATTCTCAATAACTTCTTTGTGCTGTGTGTATTCAACTCACAGAGTGGAACGTCCCTTTACACAGAGCAGATTTGAAACACTCTTTTTGTGGAGTTTGCAAGTGTAGATTTCAAGCGATTTGATGCCAACAGTAGAAAAGGAAATATCTTCAAATAAAAACTAGACAGAATCATTCTCAGAAACTACTTTGTGATGTGTGCCTTCAACTCACAGAGTTTAACCTTTCTTTTCTTAGAGCAGTTTAGAAACACTCTGCTTGTTATGTCTGCAAGTGGATATTTGGACCTCTTTGAGGCCTTCGTTGCAAACGGGGTTTCTTCCTTTCATGCTAGACTAAGAAGAGTTCTCAGTAACTTTTTTGTGTTGTGTGTATTCAACTCACAGAGTTGAACCTTGCTTTAGAGAGAGCAGATTTGAAACACTCTTGCTGTGGCATTTTCAGGTGGAGATTTCAAGCGTTTTGAGGACAATTGCAGAAAAGGAAATATCTTCGTATAATAACCAGACAGAATCATTCTCAGAAAGTGCTTTGTGATGTGTGCGTTCAACTCACAGAGTTTAACCTTTCTTTTCATAGAGGAGTTTGGAAACACACTGTTTGTAATGTCTGCAATTGGATATATGGACCTGTTTGAGGCCTTCGTTGGAAACGGGATTTCTTCATTGAATGCTAGACGGAAGAATTCTCAGTAAATTCTTTGTGTTGTGTGCATTCAACTCACAGAGTGGAACGTCCCTTTAGACAGAGCAGATTTGAAACACTTTTTGGCGGAATTTGCAAGTGGAGATTTCTAGCCATTTGATGCCAACAGTAGAAAGGGAAATATCTTCAAATAAAAACCAGACAGAATCATTCTCAGAAAATTCTTTGTGATGTGTTCGTTCAACTCACATAGTTTAACCTTTCTTTTCATAGAGCAGTTTGGAAACACTCTGTTTGTAAAGTCTGCAAGTGGATATATGGACCGCATTGAGGCCTTCGTTGGAAACGGGATTTCTTCATTTCATGCTAGACAGAAGAATTCTCAGTAACTTCTTTGTGCTGTGTGTATTCAACTCACAGAGTGGAACGTCCCTTTACACAGAGCAGATTTGAAACACTCTTTTTGTGGAGTTTGCAAGTGGAGATTTCAAGCGATTTGATGCCAGCAGTAGAAAAGGAAATATCTTCAAATAAAAACTAGACAGAATCATTCTCAGAAACTACTTTGTGATGTGTGCCTTCAACTCACAGAGTTTAACCTTTCTTTTCTTAGAGCAGTTTAGAAACACTCTGCTTGTTATGTCTGCAAGTGGATATTTGGACCTCTTTGAGGCCTTCGTTGCAAACGGGGTTTCTTCCTTTCATGCTAGACTAAGAAGAGTTCTCAGTAACTTTTTTGTGTTGTGTGTATTCAACTCACAGAGTTGAACCTTGCTTTAGAGAGAGCAGATTTGAAACACTCTTGCTGTGGCATTTTCAGGTGGAGATTTCAAGCGATTTGAGGACAATTGCAGAAAAGGAAATATCTTCGTATAATAACCAGACAGAATCATTCTCAGAAAGTGCTTTGTGATGTGTGCGTTCCACTCACAGAGTTTAACCTTTCTTTTCATAGAGGAGTTTGGAAACACACTGTTTGTAAACTCTGCAAGTGGATATATGGACCTGTTTGAGGCCTTCGTTGGAAACGGGATTTCTTCATTGAATGCTAGACGGAAGAATTCTCAGTAAATTCTTTGTGTTGTGTGCATTCAACTCACAGAGTGGAACGTCCCTTTAGACAGAGCAGATTTGAAACACTCTTTTTGCGGAATTTGCAAGTGGAGATTTCTAGCCATTTGATGCCAACAGTAGAAAGGGAAATATCTTCAAATAAAAACCAGACAGAATCATTCTCAGAAAATTCTTTGTGATGTGTGCGTTCAACTCACATAGTTTAACCTTTCTTTTCATAGAGCAGTTTGGAAACACTCTGTTTGTAAAGTCTGCAAGTGGATATATGGACCGCATTGAGGCCTTCGTTGGAAACGGGATTTCTTCATTTCATGCTAGACAGAAGAATTCTCAGTAACTTCTTTGTGCTGTGTGTATTCAACTCACAGAGTGGAACGTCCCTTTACACAGAGCAGATTTGAAACACTCTTTTTGTGGAGTTTGCAAGTGGAGATTTCAAGCGATTTGATGCCAACAGTAGAAAAGGAAATATCTTCAAATAAAAACTAGACAGAATCATTCTCAGAAACTACTTTGTGATGTGTGCCTTCAACTCACAGAGTTTAACCTTTCTTTTCTTAGAGCAGTTTAGAAACACTCTGCTTGTTATGTCTGCAAGTGGATATTTGGACCTCTTTGAGGCCTTCGTTGCAAACGGGGTTTCTTCCTTTCATGCTAGACTAAGAAGAGTTCTCAGTAACTTTTTTGTGTTGTGTGTATTCAACTCACAGAGTTGAACCTTGCTTTAGAGAGAGCAGATTTGAAACACTCTTGCTGTGGCATTTTCAGGTGGAGATTTCAAGCGATTTGAGGACAATTGCAGAAAAGGAAATATCTTTGTATAATAACCAGACAGAATCATTCTCAGAAAGTGCTTTGTGATGTGTGCGTTCCACTCACAGAGTTTAACCTTTCTTTTCATAGAGGAGTTTGGAAACACACTGTTTGTAAAGTCTGCAAGTGGATATATGGACCTGTTTGAGGCCTTCGTTGGAAACGGGATTTCTTCATTGAATGCTAGACGGAAGAATTCTCAGTAAATTCTTTGTGTTGTGTGCATTCAACTCACAGAGTGGAACGTCCCTTTAGACAGAGCAGATTTGAAACACTCTTTTTGCGGAATTTGCAAGTGGAGATTTCTAGCCATTTGATGCCAACAGTAGAAAGGGAAATATCTTCAAATAAAAACCAGACAGAATCATTCTCAGAAAATTCTTTGTGATGTGTGCGTTCAACTCACATAGTTTAACCTTTCTTTTCATAGAGCAGTTTGGAAACACTCTGTTTGTAAAGTCTGCAAGTGGATATATGGACCGCATTGAGGCCTTCGTTGGAAACGGGATTTCTTCATTTCATGCTAGACAGAAGAATTCTCAGTAACTTCTTTGTGCTGTGTGTATTCAACTCACAGAGTGGAACGTCCCTTTGCACAGAGCGGATTTGAAACACTCTTTTTGTGGAGTTTGCAAGTGGAGATTTCAAGCGATTTGATGCCAACAGTAGAAAAGGAAATATCTTCAAATAAAAACTAGACAGAATCATTCTCAAAAACTACTTTGTGATGTGTGCCTTCAACTCACAGAGTTTAACCTTTCTTTTCTTAGAGCAGTTTAGAAACACTCTGCTTGTTATGTCTGCAAGTGGATATTTGGACCTCTTTGAGGCCTTCGTTGCAAACGGGGTTTCTTCCTTTCATGCTAGACTAAGAAGAGTTCTCAGTAACTTTTTTGTGTTGTGTGTATTCAACTCACAGAGTTGAACCTTGCTTTAGAGAGAGCAGATTTGAAACACTCTTGCTGTGGCATTTTCAGGTGGAGATTTCAAGCGATTTGAGGACAATTGCAGAAAAGGAAATATCTTCGTATAATAACCAGACAGAATCATTCTCAGAAAGTGCTTTGTGATGTGTGCGTTCAACTCACAGAGTTTAACCTTTCTTTTCATAGAGGAGTTTGGAAACACACTGTTTGTAAAGTCTGCAATTGGATATATGGACCTGTTTGAGGCCTTCTTTGGAAACGGGATTTCTTCATTGAATGCTAGACGGAAGAATTCTCAGTAAATTCTTTGTGTTGTGTGCATTCAACTGACAGAGTGGAACGTCCCTTTAGACAGAGCAGATTTGAAACACTCTTTTTGCGGAATTTGCAAGTGGAGATTTCTAGCCATTTGATGCCAACAGTAGAAAGGGAAATATCTTCAAATAAAAACCAGACAGAATCATTCTCAGAAAATTCTTTGTGATGTGTGCGTTCAACTCACATAGTTTAACCTTTCTTTTCATAGAGCAGTTTGGAAACACTCTGTTTGTAAAGTCTGCAAGTGGATATATGGACCGCATTGAGGCCTTCGTTGGAAACGGGATTTCTTCATTTCATGCTAGACAGAAGAATTCTCAGTAACTTCTTTGTGCTGTGTGTATTCAACTCACAGAGTGGAACGTCCCTTTGCACAGAGCAGATTTGAAACACTCTTTTTGTGGAGTTTGCAAGTGGAGATTTCAAGCGATTTGATGCCAACAGTAGAAAAGGAAATATCTTCAAATAAAAACTAGACAGAATCATTCTCAGAAACTACTTTGTGATGTGTGCCTTTAACTCACAGAGTTTAACCTTTCTTTTCTTAGAGCAGTTTAGAAACACTCTGCTTGTTATGTCTGCAAGTGGATATTTGGACCTCTTTGAGGCCTTCGTTGCAAACGGGGTTTCTTCCTTTAATGCTAGACTAAGAAGAGTTCTCAGTAACTTTTTTGTGTTGTGTGTATTCAACTCACAGAGTTGAACCTTGCTTTAGAGAGAGCAGGTTTGAAACACTCTTGCTGTGGCATTTTCAGGTGGAGATTTCAAGCGATTTGAGGACAATTGCAGAAACGGAAATATCTTCGTATAATAACCAGACAGAATCATTCTCAGAAAGTGCTTTGTGATGTGTGCGTTCAACTCACAGAGTTTAACCTTTCTTTTCATAGAGGAGTTTGGAAACACACTGTTTGTAAAGTCTGCAATTGGATATATGGACCTGTTTGAGGCCTCCGTTGGAAACGGGATTTCTTCATTGAATGCTAGACGGAAGAATTCTCAGTAAATTGTGTTGTGTGCATTCAACTCACAGAGTGGAACGTCCCTTTAGACAGAGCAGATTTGAAACACTCTTTTTGCGGAATTTGCAAGTGGAGATTTCTAGCCATTTGATGTCAACAGTAGAAAGGGAAATATCTTCAAATAAAAACCAGACAGAATCATTCTCAGAAAATTCTTTGTGATGTGTGCGTTCAACTCACATAGTTTAACCTTTCTTTTCATGGAGCAGTTTGGAAACACTCTGTTTGTAAAGTCTGCAAGTGGATATATGGACCGCATTGAGGCCTTCGTTGGAAACGGGATTTCTTCATTTCATGCTAGACAGAAGAATTCTCAGTAACTTCTTTGTGCTGTGTGTATTCAACTCACAGAGTGGAACGTCCCTTTACACAGAGCAGATTTGAAACACTCTTTTTGTGGAGTTTGCAAGTGGAGATTTCAAGCGATTTGATGCCAACAGTAGAAAAGGAAATATCTTCAAATAAAAACTAGACAGAATCATTCTCAGAAACTACTTTTTGATGTGTGCCTTCAACTCACAGAGTTTAACCTTTCTTTTCTTAGAGCAGTTTAGAAACACTCTGCTTGTTATGTCTGCAAGTGGATATTTGGACCTCTTTGAGGCCTTCGTTGCAAACGGGGTTTCTTCCTTTAATGCTAGACTAAGAAGAGTTCTCAGTAACTTTTTTGTGTTGTGTGTATTCAACTCACAGAGTTGAACCTTGCTTTAGAGAGAGCAGATTTGAAACACTCTTGCTGTGGAATTTTCAGGTGGAGATTTCAAGCGATTTGAGGACAATTGCAGAAAAGGAAATATCTTCGTATAATAACCAGACAGAATCATTCTCAGAAAGTGCTTTGTGATGTGTGCGTTCAACTCACAGAGTTTAACCTTTCTTTTCATAGAGGAGCTTGGAAACACACTGTTTGTAAAGTCTGCAATTGGATATATGGACCTGTTTGAGGCCTCCGTTGGAAACGGGATTTCTTCATTGAATGCTAGACGGAAGAATTCTCAGTAAATTCTTTGTGTTGTGTGCATTGAACTCACAGAGTGGAACGTCCCTTTAGACAGAGCAGATTTGAAACACTCTTTTTGCGGAATTTGCAAGTGGAGATTTCTAGCCATTTGATGCCAACAGTAGAAAGGGAAATATCTTCAAATAAAAACCAGACAGAATCATTCTCAGAAAATTCTTTGTGATGTGTGCGTTCAACTCACATAGTTTAACCTTTCTTTTCATAGAGCAGTTTGGAAACACTCTGTTTGTAAAGTCTGCAAGTGGATATATGGACCGCATTGAGGCCTTCGTTGGAAACGGGATTTCTTCATTTCATGCTAGACAGAAGAATTCTCAGTAACTTCTTTGTGCTGTGTGTATTCAACTCACAGAGTGCAACGTCCCTTTACACAGAGCAGATTTGAAACACTCTTTTTGTGGAGTTTGCAAGTGGAGATTTCAAGCGATTTTATGCCAACAGTAGAAAAGGAAATATCTTCAAATAAAAACTAGACAGAATCATTCTCAGAAACTACTTTGTGATGTGTGCCTTCAACTCACAGAGTTTAACCTTTCTTTTCTTAGAGCAGCTTAGAAACACTCTGCTTGTTATGTCTGCAAGTGGATATTTGGACCTCTTTGAGGCCTTCGTTGCAAACGGGGTTTCTTCCTTTAATGCTAGACTAAGAAGAGTTCTCAGTAACTTTTTTGTGTTGTGTGTATTCAACTCACAGAGTTGAACCTTGCTTTAGAGAGAGCAGATTTGAAACACTCTCGCTGTGGCATTATCAGGTGGAGATTTCAAACGATTTGAGGACAATTGCAGAAAAGGAAATATCTTCGTATAATAACCAGACAGAATCATTCTCAGAAAGTGCTTTGTGATGTGTGCGTTCAACTCACAGAGTTTAACCTTTCTTTTCATAGAGGAGTTTGGAAACACACTGTTTGTAAAGTCTGCAATTGGATATATGGACCTGTTTGAGGCCTTCGTTGGAAACGGGATTTCTTCATTGAATGCTAGACGGAAGAATTCTCAGTAAATTCTTTGTGTGGTGTGCATTCAACTCACAGAGTGGAACGTCCCTTTAGACAGAGCAGATTTGAAACACTCTTTTTGCGGAATTTGCAAGTGGAGATTTCTAGCCATTTGATGCCAACAGTAGAAAGGGAAATATCTTCAAATAAAAACCAGACAGAATCATTCTCAGAAAATTCTTTGTGATGTGTGCGTTCAACTCACATAGTTTAACCTTTCTTTTCATAGAGCAGTTTGGAAACACTCTGTTTGTAAAGTCTGCAAGTGGATATATGGACCGCATTGAGGCCTTCGTTGGAAACGGGATTTCTTCATTTCATGCTAGACAGAAGAATTCTCAGTAACTTCTTTGTGCTGTGTGTATTCAACTCACATAGTGGAACGTCCCTTTGCACAGAGCAGATTTGAAACACTCTTTTTGTGGAGTTTGCAAGTGGAGATTTCAAGCGATTTGATGCCAACAGTAGAAAAGGAAATATCTTCAAATAAAAACTAGACAGAATCATTCTCAGAAACTACTTTGTGATGTGTGCCTTCAACTCACAGAGTTTAACCTTTCTTTTCTTAGAGCAGTTTAGAAACACTCTGCTTGTTATGTCTGCAAGTGGATATTTGGACCTCTTTGAGGCCTTCGTTGCAAACGGGGTTTCTTCCTTTCATGCTAGACTAAGAAGAGTTCTCAGTAACTTTTTTGTGTTGTGTGTATTCAACTCACAGAGTTGAACCTTGCTTTAGAGAGAGCAGATTTGAAACACTCTTGCTGTGGCATTTTCAGGTGGAGATTTCAAGCGTTTTGAGGACAATTGCAGAAAAGGAAATATCTTCGTATAATAACCAGACAGAATCATTCTCAGAAAGTGCTTTGTGATGTGTGCGTTCCACTCACAGAGTTTAACCTTTCTTTTCATAGAGGAGTTTGGAAACACACTGTTTGTAAAGTCTGCAAGTGGATATATGGACCTCTTTGAGGCCTTCGTTGGAAACGGGATTTCTTCATTGAATGCTAGACGGAAGAATTCTCAGTAAATTCTTTGTGTTGTGTGCATTCAACTCACAGAGTGGAACGTCCCTTTAGACAGAGCAGATTTGAAACACTCTTTTTACGGAATTTGCAAGTGGAGATTTCTAGCCATTTGATGCCAACAGTAGAAAGGGAAATATCTTCAAATAAAAACCAGACAGAATCATTCTCAGAAAATTCTTTGTGATGTGTGCGTTCAACTCACGTAGTTTAACCTTTCTTTTCATAGAGCAGTTTGGAAACACTCTGTTTGTAAAGTCTGCAAGTGGATATATGGACCGCATTGAGGCCTTCGTTGGAAACGGGATTTCTTCATTTCATGCTAGACAGAAGAATTCTCAGTAACTTCTTTGTGCTGTGTGTATTCAAATCACAGAGTTGAACCTTGCTTTAGAGAGAGCAGATTTGAAACACTCTTGCTGTGGCATTTTCAGGTGGAGATTTCAAGCGATTTGAGGAAAATTGCAGAAAAGGGAATATCTTCGTATAATAACCAGACAGAATCATTCTCAGAAAGTGCTTTGTGATGTGTGCGTTCCACTCACAGAGTTTAACCTTTCTTTTCATAGAGGAGTTTGGAAACACACTGTTTGTAAACTCTGCAAGTGGATATATGGACCTGTTTGAGGCCTTCGTTGCAAACGGGATTTCTTCATTGAATGCTAGACGGAAGAATTCTCAGTAAATTCTTTGTGTTGTGTGCATTCAACTCACAGAGTGGAACGTCCCTTTAGACAGAGCAGATTTGAAACACTCTTTTTGCGGAATTTGCAAGTGGAGATTTCTAGCCATTTGATGCCAACAGTAGAAAGGGAAATATCTTCAAATAAAAACCAGACAGAATCATTCTCAGAAAATTCTTTGTGATGTGTGCGTTCAACTCACATAGTTTAACCTTTCTTTTCATAGAGCAGTTTGGAAACACTCTGTTTGTAAAGTCTGCAAGTGGATATATGGACCGCATTGAGGCCTTCGTTGGAAACGGGATTTCTTCATTTCATGCTAGACAGAAGAATTCTCAGTAACTTCTTTGTGCTGTGTGTATTCAACTCACAGAGTGGAACGTCCCTTTGCACAGAGCAGATTTGAAACACTCTTTTTGTGGAGTTTGCAAGTGGAGATTTCAAGCGATTTGATGCCAACAGTAGAAAAGGAAATATCTTCGTATAACAACCAGACAGAATCATTCTCAGAAAGTGCTTTGTGATGTGTGCCTTCAACTCACAGAGTTTAACCTTTCTTTTCTTAGAGCAGTTTAGAAACACTCTGCTTGTTATGTCTGCAAGTGGATATTTGGACCTCTTTGAGGCCTTCGTTGCAAACGGGGTTTCTTCCTTTCATGCTAGACTAAGAAGAGTTCTCAGTAACTTTTTTGTGTTGTGTGTATTCAACTCACAGAGTTGAACCTTGCTTTAGAGAGAGCAGATTTGAAACACTCTTGCTGTGGCATTTTCAGGTGGAGATTTCAAGCGATTTGAGGACAATTGCAGAAAAGGAAATATCTTCGTATAATAACCAGACAGAATCATTCTCAGAAAGTGCTTTGTGATGTGTGCGTTCCACTCACAGAGTTTAACCTTTCTTTTCATAGAGGAGTTTGGAAACACACTGTTTGTAAAGTCTGCAAGTGGATATATGGACCTGTTTGAGGCCTTCGTTGGAAACGGGATTTCTTCATTGAATGCTAGACGGAAGAATTCTCAGTAAATTCTTTGTGTTGTGTGCATTCAACTCACAGAGTGGTACGTCCCTTTAGACAGAGCAGATTTGAAACACTCTTTTTGCGGAATTTGCAAGTGGAGATTTCTAGCCATTTGATGCCAACAGTAGAAAGGGAAATATCTTCAAATAAAAACCAGACAGAATCATTCTCAGAAAATTCTTTGTGATGTGTGCGTTCAACTCACATAGTTTAACCTTTCTTTTCTTAGAGCAGTTTAGAAACACTCTGCTTGTTATGTCTGCAAGTGGATATTTGGACCTCTTTGAGGCCTTCGTTGCAAACGGGGTTTCTTCCTTTCATGCTAGACTAAGAAGAGTTCTCAGTAACTTTTTTGTGTTGTGTGTATTCAACTCACAGAGTTGAACCATGCTTTAGAGAGAGCAGATTTGAAACACTCTTGCTGTGGCATTTTCAGTTGGAGATTTCAAGCGATTTGAGGACAATTGCAGAAAAGGAAATATCTTCGTATAACAACCAGACAGAATCATTCTCAGAAAGTGCTTTGTGATGTGAGGGTTCAACTCACAGAGTTTATCCTTTCTTTTCATAGAGGAGTTTGGAAACACACTGTTTGTAAAGTCTGCAAGTGGATATATGGACCTGTTTGAGGCCTTCGTTGGAAACGGGATTTCTTTATTGAATGCTAGACGGAAGAATTCTCAGTAAATTCTTTGTGTTGTGTGCATTCAACTCACAGAGTGGAACGTCCCTTTAGACAGAGCAGATTTGAAACACTCTTTTTGCGGAATTTGCAAGTGGAGATTTCTAGCCATTTGATGCCAACAGTAGAAAGGGAAATATCTTCAAATAAAAACCAGACAGAATCATTCTCAGAAAATTCTTTGTGATGTGTGCGTTCAACTCACATAGTTTAACCTTTCTTTTCATAGAGCAGTTTGGAAACACTCTGTTTGTAAAGTCTGCAAGTGGATATATGGACCGCATTGAGGCCTTCGTTGGAAACGGGATTTCTTCATTTCATGTTAGACAGAAGAATTCTCAGTAACTTCTTTGTGCTGTGTGTATTCAACTCACAGAGTTGAACCTTGCTTTAGAGAGAGCAGATTTGAAACACTCTTGCTGTGGCATTTTCAGGTGGAGATTTCAAGCGATTTGAGGAAAATTGCAGAAAAGGGAATATCTTCGTATAATAACCAGACAGAATCATTCTCAGAAAGTGCTTTGTGATGTGTGCTTTCCACTCACAGAGTTTAACCTTTCTTTTCATAGAGGAGTTTGGAAACACACTGTTTGTAAACTCTGCAAGTGGATATATGGACCTGTTTGAGGCCTTCGTTGGAAACGGGATTTCTTCATTGAATGCTAGACGGAAGAATTCTCAGTAAATTCTTTGTGTTGTGTGCATTCAACTCACAGAGTGGAACGTCCCTTTAGACAGAGCAGATTTGAAACACTCTTTTTGCGGAATTTGCAAGTGGAGATTTCTAGCCATTTGATGCCAACAGTAGAAAGGGAAATATCTTCAAATAAAAACCAGACAGAATCATTCTCAGAAAATTCTTTGTGATGTGTGCGTTCAACTCACATAGTTTAACCTTTCTTTTCATAGAGCAGTTTGGAAACACTCTGTTTGTAAAGTCTGCAAGTGGATATATGGACCGCATTGAGGCCTTCGTTGGAAACGGGATTTCTTCATTTCATGCTAGACAGAAGAATTCTCAGTAACTTCTTTGTGCTGTGTGTATTCAACTCACAGAGTGGAACGTCCCTTTGCACAGAGCAGATTTGAAACACTCTTTTTGTGGAATTTGCAAGTGGAGATTTCAAGCGATTTGATGCCAACAGTAGAAAAGGAAATATCTTCAAATAAAAACTAGACAGAATCATTCTCAGAAACTACTTTGTGATGTGTGCCTTCAACTCACAGAGTTTAACCTTTCTTTTCTTAGAGCAGTTTAGAAACACTCTGCTTGTTATGTCTGCAAGTGGATATTTGGACCTCTTTGAGGCCTTCGTTGCAATCGGGGTTTCTTCCTTTAATGCTAGACTAAGAAGAGTTCTCAGTAACTTTTTTGTGTTGTGTGTATTCAACTCACAGAGTTGAACCTTGCTTTAGAGAGAGCAGATTTGAAACACTCTTGCTGTGGCATTTTCAGGTGGAGATTTCAAGCGTTTTGAGGACAATTGCAGAAAAGGAAATATCTTCGTATAATAACCAGACAGAATCATTCTCAGAAAGTGCTTTGTGATGTGTGCGTTCAACTCACAGAGTTTAACCTTTCTTTTCATAGAGGAGTTTGGAAACACACTGTTTGTAAAGTCTGCAGTTGGATATATGGACCTGTTTGAGGCCTTCGTTGGAAACGGGATTTCTTCATTGAATGCTAGACGGAAGAATTCTCAGTAAATTCTTTGTGTTGTGTGCATTCAACTCACAGAGTGGAACGTCCCTTTAGACAGAGCAGATTTGAAACACTCTTTTTGCGGAATTTGCAAGTGGAGATTTCTAGCCATTTGATGCCAACAGTAGAAAGGGAAATATCTTCAAATAAAAACCAGACAGAATCATTCTCAGAAAATTCTTTGTGATGTGTGCGTTCAACTCACATAGTTTAACCTTTCTTTTCATAGAGCAGTTTGGAAACACTCTGTTTGTAAAGTCTGCAAGTGGATATATGGACCGCATTGAGGCCTTCGTTGGAAACGGGATTTCTTCATTTCATGCTAGACAGAAGAATTCTCAGTAACTTCTTTTGTGCTGTGTGTATTCAACTCACAGAGTGGAACGTCCCTTTGCACAGAGCAGATTTGAAACACTCTTTTTGTGGAATTTGCAAGTGGAGATTTCAAGCGATTTGATGCCAACAGTAGAAAAGGAAATATCTTCAAATAAAAACTAGACAGAATCATTTAGAAACTACTTTGTGATGTGTGCCTTCAACTCACAGAGTTTAACCTTTCTTTTCTTAGAGCAGTTTAGAAACACTCTGCTTGTTATGTCTGCAAGTGGATATTTGGACCTCTTTGAGGCCTTCGTTGGAAACGGGATTTCTTCATTGAATGCTAGACGGAAGAATTCTCAGTAAATTCTTTGTGTTGTGTGCATTCAACTCACAGAGTGGAACGTCCCTTTAGACAGAGCAGATTTGAAACACTCTTTTTGCGGAATTTGCAAGTGGAGATTTCTAGCCATTTGATGCCAACAGTAGAAAGGGAAATATCTTCAAATAAAAACCAGACAGAATCATTCTCAGAAAATTCTTTGTGATGTGTGCGTTCAACTCACATAGTTTAACCTTTCTTTTCATAGAGCAGTTTGGAAACACTCTGTTTGTAAAGTCTGCAAGTGGATATATGGACCGCATTGAGGCCTTCGTTGGAAACGGGATTTCTTCATTTCATGCTAGACAGAAGAATTCTCAGTAACTTCTTTGTGCTGTGTGTATTCAACTCACAGAGTGGAACGTCCCTTTGCACAGAGCAGATTTGAAACACTCTTTTTGTGGAGTTTGCAAGTGGAGATTTCAAGCGATTTGATGCCAACAGTAGAAAAGGAAATATCTTCAAATAAAAACTAGACAGAATCATTCTCAGAAACTACTTTGTGATGTGTGCCTTCAACTCACAGAGTTTAACCTTTCTTTTCTTAGAGCAGTTTAGAAACACTCTGCTTGTTATGTCTGCAAGTGGATATTTGGACCTCTTTGAGGCCTTCGTTGCAAACGGGGTTTCTTCCTTTCATGCTAGACTAAGAAGAGTTCTCAGTAACTTTTTTGTGTTGTGTGTATTCAACTCACAGAGCTGAACCTTGCTTTAGAGAGAGCAGATTTGAAACACTCTTGCTGTGGCATTTTCAGGTGGAGATTTCAAGCGATTTGAGGACAATTGCAGAAAAGGAAATATCTTCGTATAACAACCAGACAGAATCATTCTCAGAAAGTGCTTTGTGATGTGTGCGTTCAACTCACAGAGTTTAACCTTTCTTTTCATAGAGGAGTTTGGAAACACACTGTTTGTAAAGTCTGCAATTGGATATATGGACCTGTTTGAGGCCTTCGTTGGAAACGGGATTTCTTCATTGAATGCTAGACGGAAGAATTCTCAGTAAATTCTTTGTGTTGTGTGCATTCAACTCACAGAGTGGAACGTCCCTTTAGACAGAGCAGATTTGAAACACTCTTTTTGCGGAATTTGCAAGTGGAGATTTCTAGCCATTTGATGCCAACAGTAGAAAGGGAAATATCTTCAAATAAAAACCAGACAGAATCATTCTCAGAAAATTCTTTGTGATGTGTGCGTTCAACTCACATAGTTTAACCTTTCTTTTCATAGAGCAGTTTGGAAACACTCTGTTTGTAAAGTCTGCAAGTGGATATATGGACCGCATTGAGGCCTTCGTTGGAAACGGGATTTCTTCATTTCATGCTAGACAGAAGAATTCTCAGTAACTTCTTTGTGCTGTGTGTATTCAACTCACAGAGTGGAACGTCCCTTTGCACAGAGCAGATTTGAAACACTCTTTTTGTGGAGTTTGCAAGTGGAGATTTCAAGCGATTTGATGCCAACAGTAGAAAAGGAAATATCTTCAAATAAAAACTAGACAGAATCATTCTCAGAAACTACTTTGTGATGTGTGCCTTCAACTCACAGAGTTTAACCTTTCTTTTCTTAGAGCAGTTTAGAAACACTCTGCTTGTTATGTCTGCAAGTGGATATTTGGACCTCTTTGAGGCCTTCGTTGCAAACGGGGTTTCTTCCTTTAATGCTAGACTAAGAAGAGTTCTCAGTAACTTTTTTGTGTTGTGTGTATTCAACTCACAGAGTTGAACCTTGCTTTAGAGAGAGCAGATTTGAAACACTCTTGCTGTGGAATTTTCAGGTGGAGATTTCAAGCGATTTGAGGACAATTGCAGAAAAGGAAATATCTTCGTATAATAACCAGACAGAATCATTCTCAGAAAGTGCTTTGTGATGTGTGCGTTCAACTCACAGAGTTTAACCTTTCTTTTCATAGAGGAGCTTGGAAACACACTGTTTGTAAAGTCTGCAATTGGATATATGGACGTGTTTGAGGCCTCCGTTGGAAACGGGATTTCTTCATTGAATGCTAGACGGAAGAATTCTCAGTAAATTCTTTGTGTTGTGTGCATTGAACTCACAGAGTGGAACGTCCCTTTAGACAGAGCAGATTTGAAACACTCTTTTTGCGGAATTTGCAAGTGGAGATTTCTAGCCATTTGATGCCAACAGTAGAAAGGGAAATATCTTCAAATAAAAACCAGACAGAATCATTCTCAGAAAATTCTTTGTGATGTGTGCGTTCAACTCACATAGTTTAACCTTTCTTTTCATAGAGCAGTTTGGAAACACTCTGTTTGTAAAGTCTGCAAGTGGATATATGGACCGCATTGAGGCCTTCGTTGGAAACGGGATTTCTTCATTTCATGCTAGACAGAAGAATTCTCAGTAACTTCTTTGTGCTGTGTGTATTCAACTCACAGAGTGGAACGTCCCTTTGCACAGAGCAGATTTGAAACACTCTTTTTGTGGAGTTTGCAAGTGGAGATTTCAAGCGATTTGATGCCAACAGTAGAAAAGGAAATATCTTCAAATAAAAACTAGACAGAATCATTCTCAGAAACTACTTTGTGATGTGTGCCTTCAACTCACAGAGTTTAACCTTTCTTTTCTTAGAGCAGTTTAGAAACACTCTGCTTGTTATGTCTGCAAGTGGATATTTGGACCTCTTTGAGGCCTTCGTTGCAAACGGGGTTTCTTCCTTTCATGCTAGACTAAGAAGAGTTCTCAGTAACTTTTTTGTGTTGTGTGTATTCAACTCACAGAGTTGAACCTTGCTTTCGAGAGAGCAGATTTGAAACACTCTTGCTGTGGCATTTTCAGGTGGAGATTTCAAGCGATTTGAGGACAATTGCAGAAAAGGAAATATCTTCGTATAATAACCAGACAGAATCATTCTCAGAAAGTGCTTTGTGATGTGTGCGTTCCACTCACAGAGTTTAACCTTTCTTTTCATAGAGGAGTTTGGAAACACACTGTTTGTAAAGTCTGCAAGTGGATATATGGACCTCTTTGAGGCCTTCGTTGGAAACGGGATTTCTTCATTGAATGCTAGACGGAAGAATTCTCAGTAAATTCTTTGTGTTGTGTGCATTCAACTCACAGAGTGGAACGTCCCTTTAGACAGAGCAGATTTGAAACACTCTTTTTGCGGAATTTGCAAGTGGAGATTTCTAGCCATTTGATGCCAACAGTAGAAAGGGAAATATCTTCAAATAAAAACCAGACAGAATCATTCTCAGAAAATTATTTGTGATGTGTGCGTTCAACTCACATAGTTTAACCTTTCTTTTCATAGAGCAGTTTGGAAACACTCTGTTTGTAAAGTCTGCAAGTGGATATATGGACCGCATTGAGGCCTTCGTTGGAAACGGGATTTCTTCATTTCATGCTAGACAGAAGAATTCTCAGTAACTTCTTTGTGCTGTGTGTATTCAACTCACAGAGTGGAACGTCCCTTTGCACAGAGCAGATTTGAAACACTCTTTTTGTGGAGTTTGCAAGTGGAGATTTCAAGCGATTTAATGCCAACAGTAGGAAAGGAAATATCTTCAAATAAAAACTAGACAGAATCATTCTCAGAAACTACTTTGTGATGTGTGCCTTCAACTCACAGAGTTTAACCTTTCTTTTCTTAGAGCAGTTTAGAAACACTCTGCTTGTTATGTCTGCAAGTGGATATTTGGACCTCTTTGAGGCCTTCGTTGCAAACAGGGTTTCTTCCTTTAATGCTAGACTAAGAAGAGTTCTCAGTAACTTTTTTGTGTTGTGTGTATTCAACTCACAGAGTTGAACCTTGCTTTAGAGAGAGCAGATTTGAAACACTCTTGCTGTGGCATTTTCAGGTGGAGATTTCAAGCGATTTGAGGACAATTGCAGAAAAGGAAATATCTTCGTATAATAACCAGACAGAATCATTCTCAGAAAGTGCTTTGTGATGTGTGCGTTCAACTCACAGAGTTTAACCTTTCTTTTCATAGAGGAGTTTGGAAACACACTGTTTGTAAAGTCTGCAATTGGATATATGGACCTGTTTGAGGCCTTCGTTGGAAACGGGATTTCTTCATTGAATGCTAGACGGAAGAATTCTCAGTAAATTCTTTGTGTTGTGTGCATTCAACTCACAGAGTGGAACGTCCCTTTAGACAGAGCAGATTTGAAACACTCTTTTTGCGGAATTTGCAAGTGGAGATTTCTAGCCATTTGATGCCAACAGTAGAAAGGGAAATATCTTCAAATAAAAACCAGACAGAATCATTCTCAGAAAATTCTTTGTGATGTGTGCGTTCAACTCACATAGTTTAACCTTTCTTTTCATAGAGCAGTTTGGAAACACTCTGTTTGTAAAGTCTGCAAGTGGATATATGGACCGCATTGAGGCCTTCGTTGGAAACGGGATTTCTTCATTTCATGCTAGACAGAAGAATTCTCAGTAACTTCTTTGTGCTGTGTGTATTCAACTCACAGAGTGGAACGTCCCTTTGCACAGAGCAGATTTGAAACACTCTTTTTGTGGAGTTTGCAAGTGGAGATTTCAAGCGATTTTATGCCAACAGTAGAAAAGGAAATATCTTCAAATAAAAACTAGACAGAATCATTCTCAGAAACTACTTTGTGATGTGTGCCTTCAACTCACAGAGTTTAACCTTTCTTTTCTTAGAGCAGTTTAGAAACACTCTGCTTGTTATGTCTGCAAGTGGATATTTGGACCTCTTTGAGGCCTTCGTTGCAAACGGGGTTTCTTCCTTTCATGCTAGACTAAGAAGAGTTCTCAGTAACTTTTTTGTGTTGTGTGTATTCAACTCACAGAGTTGAACCTTGCTTTAGAGAGAGCAGATTTGAAACACTCTTGCTGTGGCATTTTCAGGTGGAGATTTCAAGCGATTTGAGGACAATTGCAGAAAAGGAAATATCTTCGTATAATAACCAGACAGAATCATTCTCAGAAAGTGCTTTGTGATGTGTGCGTTCAACTCACAGAGTTTAACCTTTCTTTTCATAGAGGAGTTTGGAAACACACTGTTTGTAAAGTCTGCAAGTGGATATATGGACCTGTTTGAGGCCTTCGTTGGAAACGGGATTTCTTCATTGAATGCTAGACGGAAGAATTCTCAGTAAATTCTTTGTGTTGTGTGCATTCAACTCACAGAGTGGAACGTCCCTTTAGACAGAGCAGATTTGAAACACTCTTTTTGCGGAATTTGCAAGTGGAGATTTCTAGCCATTTGATGCCAACAGTAGAAAGGGAAATATCTTCAAATAAAAACCAGACAGAATCATTCTCAGAAAATTCTTTGTGATGTGTGCGTTCAACTCACATAGTTTAACCTTTCTTTTCATAGAGCAGTTTGGAAGCACTCTGTTTGTAAAGTCTGCAAGTGGATATATGGACCGCATTGAGGCCTTCGTTGGAAACGGGATTTCTTCATTTCATGCTAGACAGAAGAATTCTCAGTAACTTCTTTGTGCTGTGTGTATTCAACTCACAGAGTGGAACGTCCCTTTACACAGAGCAGATTTGAAACACTCTTTTTGTGGAGTTTGCAAGTGGAGATTTCAAGCGATTTGATGCCAACAGTAGAAAAGGAAATATCTTCAAATAAAAACTAGACAGAATCATTCTCAGAAACTACTTTGTGATGTGTGCCTTCAACTCACAGAGTTTAAACTTTCTTTTCTTAGAGCAGTTTAGAAACACTCTGCTTGTTATGTCTGCAAGTGGATATTTGGACCTCTTTGAGGCCTTCGTTGCAAACGGGGTTTCTTCCTTTAATGCTAGACTAAGAAGAGTTCTCAGTAACTTTTTTGTGTTGTGTGTATTCAACTCACAGAGTTGAACCTTGCTTTAGAGAGAGCAGATTTGAAACACTCTTGCTGTGGCATTTTCAGGTGGAGATTTCAAGCGTTTTGAGGACAATTGCAGAAAAGGAAATATCTTCGTATAATAACCAGACAGAATCATTCTCAGAAAGTGCTTTGTGATGTGTGCGTTCAACTCACAGAGTTTAACTTTTCTTTCCATAGAGGAGTTTGGAAACACACTGTTTGTAAAGTCTGCAAGTGGATATATGGACCTGTTTGAGGCCTTCGTTGGAAACGGGATTTCTTCATTGAATGCTAGACGGAAGAATTCTCAGTAAATTCTTTGTGTTGTGTGCATTCAACTGACAGAGAGGAACGTCCCTTTAGACAGAGCAGATTTGAAACACTCTTTTTGCGGAATTTGCAAGTGGAGATTTCTAGCCATTTGATGCCAACAGTAGAAAGGGAAATATCTTCAAATAAAAACCAGACAGAATCATTCTCAGAAAATTCTTTGTGATGTGTGCGTTCAACTCACATAGTTTAACCTTTCTTTTCATAGAGCAGTTTGGAAACACTCTGTTTGTAAAGTCTGCAAGTGGATATATGGACCGCATTGAGGCCTTCGTTGGAAACGGGATTTCTTCATTTCATGCTAGACAGAAGAATTCTCAGTAACTTCTTTGTGCTGTGTGTATTCAACTCACAGGAGTGGAACGTCCCTTTGCACAGAGCAGATTTGAAACACTCTTTGTGGAATTTGCAAGTGGAGATTTCAAGCGATTTGATGCCAACAGTAGAAAAGGAAATATCTTCAAATAAAAACTAGACAGAATCATTTAGAAACTACTTTGTGATGTGTGCCTTCAACTCACAGAGTTTAACCTTTCTTTTCTTAGAGCAGTTTAGAAACACTCTGCTTGTTATGTCTGCAAGTGGATATTTGGACCTCTTTGAGGCCTTCGTTGCAAACGGGGTTTCTTCCTTTAATGCTAGACTAAGAAGAGTTCTCAGTAACTTTTTTGTGTTGTGTGTATTCAACTCACAGAGTTGAACCTTGCTTTAGAGAGAGCAGATTTGAAACACTCTTGCTGTGGCATTTTCAGGTGGAGATTTCAAGCGATTTGAGGACAATTACAGAAAAGGAAATATCTTCGTATAACAACCAGACAGAATCATTCTCAGAAAGTGCTTTGTGATGTGTGCGTTCAACTCACAGAGTTTAACCTTTCTTTTCATAGAGGAGTTTGGAAACACACTGTTTGTAAAGTCTGCAATTGGATATATGGACCTGTTTGAGGCCTTCGTTGGAAACGGGATTTCTTCATTGAATGCTAGACGGAAGAATTCTCAGTAAATTCTTTGTGTTGTGTGCATTCAACTCACAGAGTGGAACATCCCTTTAGACAGAGCAGATTTGAAACACTCTTTTTGCGGAATTTGCAAGTGGAGATTTCTAGCCATTTGATGCCAACAGTAGAAAGGGAAATATCTTCCAATAAAAACCAGACAGAATCATTCTCAGAAAATTCTTTGTGATGTGTGCGTTCAACTCACATAGTTTAACCTTTCTTTTCATAGAGCAGTTTGGAAACACTCTGTTTGTAAAGTCTGCAAGTGGATATATGGACCGCATTGAGGCCTTCGTTGGAAACGGGATTTCTTCATTTCATGCTAGACAGAAGAATTCTCAGTAACTTATTTGTGCTGTGTGTATTCAACTCACAGAGTGGAACGTCCCTTTGCACAGAGCAGATTTGAAACACTCTTTTTGTGGAATTTGCAAGTGGAGATTTCAAGCGATTTGATGCCAACAGTAGAAAAGGAAATATCTTCAAATAAAAACTAGACAGAATCATTCTCAGAAACTACTTTGTGATGTGTGCCTTCAACTCACAGAGTTTAACCTTTCTTTTCTTAGAGCAGTTTAGAAACACTCTGCTTGTTATGTCTGCAAGTGGATACTTGGACCTCTTTGAGGCCTTCGTTGCAAACGGGGTTTCTTCCTTTAATGCTAGACTAAGAAGAGTTCTCAGTAACTTTTTTGTGTTGTGTGTATTCAACTCACAGAGCTGAACCTTGCTTTAGAGAGAGCAGATTTGAAACACTCTTGCTGTGGCATTTTCAGGTGGAGATTTCAAGCGATTTGAGGACAATTGCAGAAAAGGAAATATCTTCGTATAACAACCAGACAGAATCATTCTCAGAAAGTGCTTTGTGATGTGTGCGTTCCACTCACAGAGTTTAACCTTTCTTTTCATAGAGGAGTTTGGAAACACACTGTTTGTAAAGTCTGCAAGTGGATATATGGACCTCTTTGAGGCCTTCGTTGGAAACGGGATTTCTTCATTGAATGCTAGACGGAAGAATTCTCAGTAAATTCTTTGTGTTGTGTGCATTCAACTCACAGAGTGGAACGTCCCTTTAGACAGAGCAGATTTGAAACACTCTTTTTGCGGAATTTGCAAGTGGAGATTTCTAGCCATTTGATGCCAACAGTAGAAAGGGAAATATCTTCAAATAAAAACCAGACAGAATCATTCTCAGAAAATTCTTTGTGATGTGTGCGTTCAACTCACATAGTTTAACCTTTCTTTTCATAGAGCAGTTTGGAAACACTCTGTTTGTAAAGTCTGCAAGTGGATATATGGACCGCATTGAGGCCTTCGTTGGAAACGGGATTTCTTCATTTCATGCTAGACAGAAGAATTCTCAGTAACTTCTTTGTGCTGTGTGTATTCAACTCACAGAGTGGAACGTCCCTTTACACAGAGCAGATTTGAAACACTCTTTTTGTGGAGTTTGCAAGTGGAGATTTCAAGCGATTTGATGCCAACAGTAGAAAAGGAAATATCTTCAAATAAAAACTAGACAGAATCATTCTCAGAAACTACTTTGTGATGTGTGCCTTCAACTCACAGAGTTTAACCTTTCTTTTCTTAGAGCAGTTTAGAAACACTCTGCTTGTTATGTCTGCAAGTGGATATTTGGACCTCTTTGAGGCCTTCGTTGCAAACGGGGTTTCTTCCTTTCATGCTAGACTAAGAAGAGTTCTCAGTAACTTTTTTGTGTTGTGTGTATTCAACTCACAGAGTTGAACCTTGCTTTAGAGAGAGCAGATTTGAAACACTCTTGCTGTGGCATTTTCAGGTGGAGATTTCAAGCGATTTGAGGACAATTGCAGAAAAGGAAATATCTTCGTATAATAACCAGACAGAATCATTCTCAGAAAGTGCTTTGTGATGTGTGCGTTCAACTCACAGAGTTTAACCTTTCTTTTCAGAGAGGAGTTTGGAAACACACTGTTTGTAAAGTCTGCAAGTGGATATATGGACCTGTTTGAGGCCTTCGTTGGAAACGGGATTTCTTCATTGAATGCTAGACGGAAGAATTCTCAGTAAATTCTTTGTGTTGTGTGCATTCAACTCACAGAGTGGAACGTCCCTTTAGACAGAGCAGATTTGAAACACTCTTTTTGCGGAATTTGCAAGTGGAGATTTCTAGCCATTTGATGCCAACAGTAGAAAGGGAAATATCTTCAAATAAAAACCAGACAGAATCATTCTCAGAAAATTCTTTGTGATGTGTGCGTTCAACTCACATAGTTTAACATTTCTTTTCATAGAGCAGTTTGGAAACACTCTGTTTGTAAAGTCTGCAAGTGGATATATGGACCGCATTGAGGCCTTCGTTGGAAACGGGATTTCTTCATTTCATGCTAGACAGAAGAATTCTCAGTAACTTCTTTGTGCTGTGTGTATTCAACTCACAGAGTGGAACGTCCCTTTACACAGAGCAGATTTGAAACACTCTTTTTGTTGAATTTGCAAGTGGAGATTTCAAGCGATTTGATGCCAACAGTAGAAAAGGAAATATCTTCAAATAAAAACTAGACAGAATCATTCTCAGAAACTACTTTGTGATGTGTGCCTTCAACTCACAGAGTTTAACCTTTCTTTTCTTAGAGCAGTTTAGAAACACTCTGCTTGTTATGTCTGCAAGTGGATATTTGGACCTCTTTGAGGCCTTCGTTGCAAACGGGGTTTCTTCCTTTAATGCTAGACTAAGAAGAGTTCTCAGTAACTTTTTTGTGTTGTGTGTATTCAACTCACAGAGTTGAACCTTGCTTTAGAGAGAGCAGATTTGAAACACTCTTGCTGTGGCATTTTCAGGTGGAGATTTCAAGCGATTTGAGGACAATTACAGAAAAGGAAATATCTTCGTATAACAACCAGACAGAATCATTCTCAGAAAGTGCTTTGTGATGTGTGCGTTCAACTCACAGAGTTTAACCTTTCTTTTCATAGAGGAGTTTGGAAACACACTGTTTGTAAAGTCTGCAATTGGATATATGGACCTGTTTGAGGCCTTCGTTGGAAACGGGATTTCTTCATTGAATGCTAGACGGAAGAATTCTCAGTAAATTCTTTGTGTTGTGTGCATTCAACTCACAGAGTGGAACGTCCCTTTAGACAGAGCAGATTTGAAACACTCTTTTTGCGGAATTTGCAAGTGGAGATTTCTAGCCATTTGATGCCAACAGTAGAAAGGGAAATATCTTCAAATAAAAACCAGACAGAATCATTCTCAGAAAATTCTTTGTGATGTGTGCGTTCAACTCACATAGTTTAACCTTTCTTTTCATAGAGCAGTTTGGAAACACTCTGTTTGTAAAGTCTGCAAGTGGATATATGGACCGCATTGAGGCCTTCGTTGGAAACGGGATTTCTTCATTTCATGCTAGACAGAAGAATTCTCAGTAACTTCTTTGTGCTGTGTGTATTCAACTCACAGAGTGGAACGTCCCTTTGCACAGAGCAGATTTTAAACACTCTTTTTGTGGAGTTTGCAAGTGGAGATTTCAAGCGATTTGATGCCAACAGTAGAAAAGGAAATATCTTCAAATAAAAACTAGACAGAATCATTCTCAGAAACTACTTTGTGATGTGTGCCTTCAACTCACAGAGTTTAACCTTTCTTTTCATAGAGCAGTTTAGAAACACTCTGCTTGTTATGTCTGCAAGTGGATATTTGGACCTCTTTGAGGCCTTCGTTGCAAACGGGGTTTCTTCCTTTCATGCTAGACTAAGAAGAGTTCTCAGTAACTTTTTTGTGTTGTGTGTATTCAACTCACAGAGTTGAACCTTGCTTTAGAGAGAGCAGATTTGAAACACTCTTGCTGTGGCATTTTCAGGTGGAGATTTCAAGCGATTTGAGGACAATTGCAGAAAAGGAAATATCTTCGTATAATAACCAGACAGAATCATTCTCAGAAAGTGCTTTGTGATGTGTGCGTTCCACTCACAGAGTTTAACCTTTCTTTTCATAGAGGAGTTTGGAAACACACTGTTTGTAAAGTCTGCAAGTGGATATATGGACCTGTTTGAGGCCTTCGTTGGAAACGGGATTTCTTCATTGAATGCTAGACGGAAGAATTCTCAGTAAATTCTTTGTGTTGTGTGCATTCAACTCACAGAGTGGAACGTCCCTTTAGACAGAGCAGATTTGAAACACTCTTTTTGCGGAATTTGCAAGTGGAGATTTCTAGCCATTTGATGCCAACAGTAGAAAGGGAAATATCTTCAAATAAAAACCAGACAGAATCATTCTCAGAAAATTCTTTGTGATGTGTGCGTTCAACTCACATAGTTTAACCTTTCTTTTCATAGAGCAGTTTGGAAACACTCTGTTTGTAAAGTCTGCAAGTGGATATATGGACCGCATTGAGGCCTTCGTTGGAAACGGGATTTCTTCATTTCATGCTAGACAGAAGAATTCTCAGTAACTTCTTTGTGCTGTGTGTATTCAACTCACAGAGTGGAACGTCCCTTTACACAGAGCAGATTTGAAACACTCTTTTTGTGGAATTTGCAAGTGGAGATTTCAAGCGATTTGATGCCAACAGTAGAAAAAGAAATATCTTCAAATAAAAACTAGACAGAATCATTCTCAGAAACTACTTTGTGATGTGTGCCTTCAACTCACAGAGTTTAACCTTTCTTTTCTTAGAGCAGTTTAGAAACACTCTGCTTGTTATGTCTGCAAGTGGATATTTGGACCTCTTTGAGGCCTTCGTTGCAAACGGGGTTTCTTCCTTTCATGCTAGACTAAGAAGAGTTCTCAGTAACTTTTTTGTGTTGTGTGTATTCAACTCACAGAGTTGAACCTTGCTTTAGAGAGAGCAGATTTGAAACACTCTTGCTGTGGCATTTTCAGGTGGAGATTTCAAGCGATTTGAGGACAATTGCAGAAAAGGAAATATCTTCGTATAATAACCAGACAGAATCATTCTCAGAAAGTGCTTTGTGATGTGTGCGTTCAACTCACAGAGTTTAACCTTTCTTTTCATAGAGGAGTTTGGAAACACACTGTTTGTAAAGTCTGCAATTGGATATATGGACCTGTTTGAGGCCTTCGTTGGAAACGGGATTTCTTCATTGAATGCTAGACAGAAGAATTCTCAGTAAATTCTTTGTGTTGTGTGCATTCAACTCACAGAGTGGAACGTCCCTTTAGACAGAGCAGATTTGAAACACTCTTTTTGCGGAATTTGCAAGTGGAGATTTCTAGCCATTTGATGCCAACAGTAGAAAGGGAAATATCTTCAAATAAAAACCAGACAGAATCATTCTCAGAAAATTCTTTGTGATGTGTGCGTTCAACTCACATAGTTTAACCTTTCTTTTCATAGAGCAGTTTGGAAACACTCTGTTTGTAAAGTCTGCAAGTGGATATATGGACCGCATTGAGGCCTTCGTTGGAAACGGGATTTCTTCATTTCATGCTAGACAGAAGAATTCTCAGTAACTTCTTTGTGCTGTGTGTATTCAACTCACAGAGTGGAACGTCCCTTTGCACAGAGCAGATTAGAAACACTCTTTTTGTGGAATTTGCAAGTGGAGATTTCAAGCGATTTGATGCCAACAGTAGAAAAGGAAATATCTTCAAATAAAAACTAGACAGAATCATTCTCAGAAACTACTTTGTGATGTGTGCCTTCAACTCACAGAGTTTAACCTTTCTTTTCTTAGAGCAGTTTAGAAACACTCTGCTTGTTATGTCTGCAAGTGGATATTTGGACCTCTTTGAGGCCTTCGTTGCAAACGGGGTTTCTTCCTTTAATGCTAGACTAAGAAGAGTTCTCAGTAACTTTTTTGTGTTGTGTGTATTCAACTCACAGAGTTGAACCTTGCTTTAGAGAGAGCAGATTTGAAACACTCTTGCTGTGGCATTTTCAGGTGGAGATTTCAAGCGATTTGAGGACAATTGCAGAAAAGGAAATATCTTCGTATAACAACCAGACAGAATCATTCACAGAAAGTGCTTTGTGATGTGTGCGTTCAACTCACAGAGTTTAACCTTTCTTTTCATAGAGGAGTTTGGAAACACACTGTTTGTAAAGTCTGCAATTGGATATATGGACCTGTTTGAGGCCTTCGTTGGAAACGGGATTTCTTCATTGAATGCTAGACGGAAGAATTCTCAGTAAATTCTTTGTGTTGTGTGCATTCAACTCACAGAGTGGAACGTCCCTTTAGACAGAGCAGATTTGAAACACTCTTTTTGCGGAATTTGCAAGTGGAGATTTCTAGCCATTTGATGCCAACAGTAGAAAGGGAAATATCTTCAAATAAAAACCAGACAGAATCATTCTCAGAAAATTCTTTGTGATGTGTGCGTTCAACTCACATAGTTTAACCTTTCTTTTCATAGAGCAGTTTGGAAACACTCTGTTTGTAAAGTCTGCAAGTGGATATATGGACCGCATTGAGGCCTTCGTTGGAAACGGGATTTCTTCATTTCATGCTAGACAGAAGAATTCTCAGTAACTTCTTTGTGCTGTGTGTATTCAACTCACAGAGTGGAACGTCCCTTTGCACAGAGCAGATTTGAAACACTCTTTTTGTGGAGTTTGCAAGTGGAGATTTCAAGCGATTTGATGCCAACAGTAGAAAAGGAAGTATCTTCAAATAAAAACTAGCACAGAAATCATTCTCAGAAACTACTTTGTGATGTGTGCCTTCAACTCACAGAGTTTAACCTTTCTTTTCTTAGAGCACTTTAGAAACACTCTGCTTGTTATGTCTGCAAGTGGATATTTGGACCTCTTTGAGGCCTTCGTTGCAAACGGGGTTTCTTCCTTTCATGCTAGACTAAGAAGAGTTCTCAGTAACTTTTTTGTGTTGTGTGTATTCAACTCACAGAGTTGAACCTTGCTTTAGAGAGAGCAGATTTGAAACACTCTTGCTGTGGCATTTTCAGGTGGAGATTTCAAGCGATTTGAGGACAATTGCAGAAAAGGAAATATCTTCGTATAATAACCAGACGGAATCATTCTCAGAAAGTGCTTTGTGATGTGTGCGTTCAACTCACAGAGTTTAACCTTTCTTTTCATAGAGGAGTTTGGAAACACACTGTTTGTAAAGTCTGCAAGTGGATATATGGACCTGTTTGAGGCCTTCGTTGGAAACGGGATTTCTTCATTGAATGCTAGACGGAAGAATTCTCAGTAAATTCTTTGTGTTGTGTGCATTCAACTCACAGAGTGGAACGTCCCTTTAGACAGAGCAGATTTGAAACACTCTTTTTGCGGAATTTGCAAGTGGAGATTTCTAGCCATTTGATGCCAACAGTAGAAAGGGAAATATCTTCAAATAAAAACCAGACAGAATCATTCTCAGAAAATTCTTTGTGATGTGTGCGTTCAAATCACATAGTTTAACCTTTCTTTTCATAGACCAGTTTGGAAACACTCTGTTTGTAAAGTCTGCAAGTGGATATATGGACCGCATTGAGGCCTTCGTTGGAAACGGGATTTCTCCATTTCATGCTAGACAGAAGAATTCTCAGTAACTTCTTTGTGCTGTGTGTATTCAACTCACAGAGTGGAACGTCCCTTTGCACAGAGCAGATTTGAAACACTCTTTTTGTGGAGTTTGCAAGTGGAGATTTCAAGCGATTTGATGCCAACAGTAGAAAAGGAAATATCTTCAAATAAAAACTAGACAGAATCATTCTCAGAAACTACTTTGTGATGTGTGCCTTCAACTCACAGAGTTTAACCTTTCTTTTCTTAGAGCAGTTTAGAAACACTCTGCTTGTTATGTCTGCAAGTGGATATTTGGACCTCTTTGAGGCCTTCGTTGCAAACGGGGTTTCTTCCTTTAATGCTAGACTAAGAAGAGTTCTCAGTAACTTTTTTGTGTTGTGTGTATTCAACTCACAGAGTTGAACCTTGCTTTAGAGAGAGCAGATTTGAAACACTCTTGCTGTGGAATTTTCAGGTGGAGATTTCAAGCGATTTGAGGACAATGGCAGAAAAGGAAATATCTTCGTATAATAACCAGACAGAATCATTCTCAGAAAGTGCTTTGTGATGTGTGCGTTCCACTCACAGAGTTTAACCTTTCTTTTCATAGAGGAGTTTGGAAACACACTGTTTGTAAACTCTGCAAGTGGATATATGGACCTGTTTGAGGCCTTCGTTGGAAACGGGTTTTCTTCATTGAATGCTAGACGGAAGAATTCTCAGTAAATTCTTTGTGTTGTGTGCATTCAACTCACAGAGTGGAACGTCCCTTTAGACAGAGCAGATTTGAAACACTCTTTTTGCGGAATTTGCAAGTGGAGATTTCTAGCCATTTGATGCCAACAGTAGAAAGGGAAATATCTTCAAATAAAAACCAGACAGAATCATTCTCAGAAAATTCTTTGTGATGTGTGCGTTCAACTCACATAGTTTAACCTTTCTTTTCATAGAGCAGTTTGGAAACACTCTGTTTGTAAAGTCTGCAAGTGGATATATGGACCGCATTGAGGCCTTCGTTGGAAACGGGATTTCTTCCTTTCATGCTAGACAGAAGAATTCTCAGTAACTTCTTTGTGCTGTGTGTATTCAACTCACAGAGTGGAACGTCCCTTTACACAGAGCAGATTTGAAACACTCTATTTGTGGAGTTTGCAAGTGGAGATTTCAAGCGATTTGATGCCAACAGTAGAAAAGGAAATATCTTCAAATAAAAACTAGACAGAATCATTCTCAGAAACTACTTTGTGATGTGTGCCTTCAACTCACAGAGTTTAACCTTTCTTTTCTTAGAGCAGTTTAGAAACACTCTGCTTGTTATGTCTGCAAGTGGATATTTGGACCTCTTTGAGGCCTTCGTTGCAAACGGGGTTTCTTCCTTTCATGCTAGACTAAGAAGAGTTCTCAGTAACTTTTTTGTGTTGTGTGTATTCAACTCACAGAGCTGAACCTTGCTTTAGAGAGAGCAGATTTGAAACACTCTTGCTGTGGCATTTTCAGGTGGAGATTTCAAGCGATTTGAGGACAATTGCAGAAAAGGAAATATCTTCGTATAACAACCAGACAGAATCATTCTCAGAAAGTGCTTTGTGATGTGTGCGTTCCACTCACAGAGTTTAACCTTTCTTTTCATAGAGGAGTTTGGAAACACACTGTTTGTAAACTCTGCAAGTGGATATATGGACCTGTTTGAGGCCTTCGTTGGAAACGGGATTTCTTCATTGAATGCTAGACGGAAGAATTCTCAGTAAATTCTTTGTGTTGTGTGCATTCAACTCACAGAGTGGAACGTCCCTTTAGACAGAGCAGATTTGAAACACTCTTTTTGCGGAATTTGCAAGTGGAGATTTCTAGCCATTTGATGCCAACAGTAGAAAGGGAAATATCTTCAAATAAAAACCAGACAGAATCATTCTCAGAAAATTCTTTGTGATGTGTGCGTTCAACTCACATAGTTTAACCTTTCTTTTCATAGAGCAGTTTGGAAACACTCTGTTTGTAAAGTCTGCAAGTGGATATATGGACCGCATTGAGGCCTTCGTTGGAAACGGGATTTCTTCATTTCATGCTAGACAGAAGAATTCTCAGTAACTTCTTTGTGCTGTGTGTATTCAACTCACAGAGTGGAACGTCCCTTTACACAGAGAAGATTTGAAACACTCTTTTTGTGGAGTTTGCAAGTGGAGATTTCAAGCGATTTGATGCCAACAGTAGAAAAGGAAATATCTTCAAATAAAAACTAGACAGAATCATTCTCAGAAACTACTTTGTGATGTGTGCCTTCAACTCACAGAGTTTAACCTTTCTTTTCTTAGAGCAGTTTAGAAACACTCTGCTTGTTATGTCTGCAAGTGGATATTTGGACCTCTTTGAGGCCTTCGTTGCAAACGGGGTTTCTTCCTTTAATGCTAGACTAAGAAGAGTTCTCAGTAACTTTTTTGTGTTGTGTGTATTCAACTCACAGAGTTGAACCTTGCTTTAGAGAGAGCAGATTTGAAACACTCTTGCTGTGGAATTTTCAGGTGGAGATTTCAAGCGATTTGAGGACAATGGCAGAAAAGGAAATATCCTTCGTATAATAACCAGACAGAATCATTCTCAGAAAGTGCTTTGTGATGTGTGCGTTCCACTCACAGAGTTTAACCTTTCTTTTCATAGAGGAGTTTGGAAACACACTGTTTGTAAAGTCTGCAAGTGGATATATGGACCTGTTTGAGGCCTTCGTTGGAAACGGGATTTCTTCATTGAATGCTAGACGGAAGAATTCTCAGTAAATACTTTGTGTTGTGTGCATTCAACTGACAGAGTGGAACGTCCCTTTAGACAGAGCAGATTTGAAACACTCTTTTTGCGGAATTTGCAAGTGGAGATTTCTAGCCATTTGATGCCAACAGTAGAAAGGGAAATATCTTCAAATAAAAACCAGACAGAATCATTCTCAGAAAATTCTTTGTGATGTGTGCGTTCAACTCACATAGTTTAACCTTTCTTTTCATAGAGCAGTTTGGAAACACTCTGTTTGTAAAGTCTGCAAGTGGATATATGGACCGCATTGAGGCCTTCGTTGGAAACGGGATTTCTTCATTTCATGCTAGACAGAAGAATTCTCAGTAACTTCTTTGTGCTGTGTGTATTCAACTCACAGAGTGGAACGTCCCTTTACACAGAGCAGATTTGAAACACTCTTTTTGTGGAGTTTGCAAGTGGAGATTTCAAGCGATTTGATGCCAACAGTAGAAAAGGAAATATCTTCAAATAAAAACTAGACAGAATCATTCTCAGAAACTACTTTGTGATGTGTGCCTTCAACTCACAGAGTTTAACCTTTCTTTTCTTAGAGCAGTTTAGAAACACTCTGCTTGTTATGTCTGCAAGTGGATATTTGGACCTCTTTGAGGCCTTCGTTGCAAACGGGGTTTCTTCCTTTCATGCTAGACTAAGAAGAGTTCTCAGTAACTTTTTTGTGTTGTGTGTATTCAACTCACAGAGTTGAACCTTGCTTTAGAGAGAGCAGATTTGAAACACTCTTGCTGTGGCATTTTCAGGTGGAGATTTCAAGCGATTTGAGGACAATTGCAGAAAAGGAAATATCTTCGTATAACAACCAGACAGAATCATTCTCAGAAAGTGCTTTGTGATGTGTGCGTTCAACTCACAGAGTTTAACCTTTCTTTTCATAGAGGAGTTTGGAAACACACTGTTTGTAAAGTCTGCAATTGGATATATGGACCTGTTTGAGGCCTTCGTTGGAAACGGGATTTCTTCATTGCATGCTAGACGGAAGAATTCTCAGTAAATTCTTTGTGTGGTGTGCATTCAACTCACAGAGTGGAACGTCCCTTTAGACAGAGCAGATTTGAAACACTCTTTTTGCGGAATTTGCAAGTGGAGATTTCTAGCCATTTGATGCCAACAGTAGAAAGGGAAATATCTTCAAATAAAAACCAGACAGAATCATTCTCAGAAAATTCTTTGTGATGTGTGCGTTCAACTCACATAGTTTAACCTTTCTTTTCATAGAGCAGTTTGGAAACACTCTGTTTGTAAAGTCTGCAAGTGGATATATGGACCGCATTGAGGCCTTCGTTGGAAACGGGATTTCTTCATTTCATGCTAGACAGAAGAATTCTCAATAACTTCTTTGTGCTGTGTGTATTCAACTCACAGAGTGGAACGTCCCTTTACACAGAGCAGATTTGAAACACTCTTTTTGTGGAGTTTGCAAGTGGAGATTTCAAGCGATTTGATGCCAACAGTAGAAAAGGAAATATCTTCAAATAAAAACTAGACAGAATCATTCTCAGAAACTACTTTGTGATGTGTGCCTTCAACTCACAGAGTTTAACCTTTCTTTTCTTAGAGCAGTTTAGAAACACTCTGCTTGTTATGTCTGCAAGTGGATATTTGGACCTCTTTGAGGCCTTCGTTGCAAACGGGGTTTCTTCCTTTCATGCTAGACTAAGAAGAGTTCTCAGTAACTTTTTTGTGTTGTGTGTATTCAACTCACAGAGTTGAACGTTGCTTTAGAGAGAGCAGATTTGAAACACTCTTGCTGTGGCATTTTCAGGTGGAGATTTCAAGCGATTTGAGGACAATTGCAGAAAAGGAAATATCTTCGTATAACAACCAGACAGAATCATTCTCAGAAAGTGCTTTGTGATGTGTGCGTTCCACTCACAGAGTTTAACCTTTCTTTTCATAGAGGAGTTTGGAAACACACTGTTTGTAAAGTCTGCAAGTGGATATATGGACCTGTTTGAGGCCTTCGTTGGAAACGGGATTTCTTCATTGAATGCTAGACGGAAGAATTCTCAGTAAATTCTTTGTGTTGTGTGCATTCAACTCACAGAGTGGAACGTCCCTTTAGACAGAGCAGATTTGAAACACTCTTTTTGCGGAATTTGCAAGTGGAGATTTCTAGCCATTTGATGCCAACAGTAGAAAGGGAAATATCTTCAAATAAAAACCAGACAGAATCATTCTCAGAAAATTCTTTGTGATGTGTGCATTCAACTCACATAGTTTAACCTTTCTTTTCTTAGAGCAGTTTAGAAACACTCTGCTTGTTATGTCTGCAAGTGGATATTTGGACCTCTTTGAGGCCTTCGTTGCAAACGGGGTTTCTTCCTTTCATGCTAGACTAAGAAGAGTTCTCAGTAACTTTTTTGTGTTGTGTGTATTCAACTCACAGAGTTGAACCATGCTTTAGAGAGAGCAGATTTGAAACACTCTTGCTGTGGCATTTTCAGGTGGAGATTTCAAGCGATTTGAGGACAATTGCAGAAAAGGAAATATCTTCGTATAACAACCAGACAGAATCATTCTCAGAAAGTGCTTTGTGATGTGTGGGTTCAACTCACAGAGTTTAACCTTTCTTTTCATAGAGGAGTTTGGAAACACACTGTTTGTAAAGTCTGCAATTGGATATATGGACCTGTTTGAGGCCTTCGTTGGAAACGGGATTTCTTCATTGACTGCTAGACAGAAGAATTCTCAGTAAATTCTTTGTGTTGTGTGCATTCAACTCACAGAGTGGAACGTCCCTTTAGACAGAGCAGATTTGAAACACTATTTTTGCGGAATTTGCAAGTGGAGATTTCTAGCCATTTGATGCCAACAGTAGAAAGGGAAATATCTTCAAATAAAAACCAGACAGAATCATTCTCAGAAAATTCTTTGTGATGTGTGCGTTCAACTCACATAGTTTAACCTTTCTTTTCATAGAGCAGTTTGGAAACACTCTGTTTGTAAAGTCTGCAAGTGGATATATGGACCGCATTGAGGCCTTCGTTGGAAACGGGATTTCTTCATTTCATGCTAGACAGAAGAATTCTCAGTAACTTCTTTGTGCTGTGTGTATTCAACTCACAGAGTGGAACGTCCCTTTGCACAGAGCAGATTTGAAACACTCTTTTTGTGGAGTTTGCAAGTGGAGATTTCAAGCGATTTGATGCCAACAGTAGAAAAGGAAATATCTTCAAATAAAAACTAGACAGAATCATTCTCAGAAACTACTTTGTGATGTGTGCCTTCAACTCACAGAGTTTAACCTTTCTTTTCTTAGAGCAGTTTAGAAACACTCTGCTTGTTATGTCTGCAAGTGGATATTTGGACCTCTTTGAGGCCTTCGTTGCAAACGGGGTTTCTTCCTTTCATGCTAGACTAAGAAGAGTTCTCAGTAACTTTTTTGTGTTGTGTGTATTCAACTCACAGAGTTGAACCTTGCTTTAGAGAGAGCAGATTTGAAACACTCTTGCTGTGGCATTTTCAGGTGGAGATTTCAAGCGTTTTGAGGACAATTGCAGAAAAGGAAATATCTTCGTATAATAACCAGACAGAATCATTCTCAGAAAGTGCTTTGTGATGTGTGCGTTCAACTCACAGAGTTTAACCTTTCTTTTCATAGAGGAGTTTGGAAACACACTGTTTGTAAAGTCTGCAATTGGATATATGGACCTGTTTGAGGCCTTCGTTGGAAACGGGATTTCTTCATTGAATGCTAGACGGAAGAATTCTCAGTAAATTCTTTGTGTTGTGTGCATTCAACTCACAGAGTGGAACGTCCCTTTAGACAGAGCAGATTTGAAACACTCTTTTTGCGGAATTTGCAAGTGGAGATTTCTAGCCATTTGATGCCAACAGTAGAAAGGGAAATATCTTCAAATAAAAACCAGACAGAATCATTCTCAGAAAATTCTTTGTGATGTGTGCGTTCAACTCACATAGTTTAACCTTTCTTTTCATAGAGCAGTTTGGAAACACTCTGTTTGTAAAGTCTGCAAGTGGATATATGGACCGCATTGAGGCCTTCGTTGGAAACGGGATTTCTTCATTTCATGCTAGACAGAAGAATTCTCAGTAACTTCTTTGTGCTGTGTGTATTCAACTCACAGAGGGGAACGTCCCTTTGCACAGAGCAGATTTGAAACACTCTTTTTGTGGAATTTGCAAGTGGAGATTTCAAGCGATTTGATGCCAACAGTAGAAAAGGAAATATCTTCAAATAAAAACTAGACAGAATCATTCTCAGAAACTACTTTGTGATGTGTGCCTTCAACTCACAGAGTTTAACCTTTCTTTTCTTAGAGCAGTTTAGAAACACTCTGCTTGTTATGTCTGCAAGTGGATATTTGGACCTCTTTGAGGCCTTCGTTGCAAACGGGGTTTCTTCCTTTCATGCTAGACTAAGAAGAGTTCTCAGTAACTTTTCTGTGTTGTGTGTATTCAACTCACAGAGTTGAACCTTGCTTTAGAGAGAGCAGATTTGAAACACTCTTGCTGTGACATTTTCAGGTGGAGATTTCAAGCGATTTGAGGACAATTGCAGAAAAGGAAATATCTTCGTATAACAACCAGACAGAATCATTCTCAGAAAGTGCTTTGTGATGTGTGCGTTCCACTCACAGAGTTTAACCTTTCTTTTCATAGAGGAGTTTGGAAACACACTGTTTGTAAAGTCTGCAATTGGATATATGGACCTGTTTGAGGCCTTCGTTGGAAACGGGATTTCTTCATTGAATGCTAGACGGAAGAATTCTCAGTAAATTCTTTGTGTTGTGTGCATTCAACTCACAGAGTGGAACGTCCCTTTAGACAGAGCAGATTTGAAACACTCTTTTTGCGGAATTTGCAAGTGGAGATTTCTAGCCATTTGATGCCAACAGTAGAAAGGGAAATATCTTCAAATAAAAACCAGACAGAATCATTCTCAGAAAATTCTTTGTGATGTGTGCGTTCAACTCACATAGTTTAACCTTTCCTTTCATGGAGCAGTTTGGAAACACTCTGTTTGTAAAGTCTGCAAGTGGATATATGGACCGCATTGAGGCCTTCGTTGGAAACGGGATTTCTTCATTTCATGCTAGACAGAAGAATTCTCAGTAACTTCTTTGTGCTGTGTGTATTCAACTCACAGAGTGGAACGTCCCTTTGCACAGAGCGGATTTGAAACACTCTTTTTGTGGAGTTTGCAAGTGAAGATTTCAAGCGATTTGATGCCAACAGTAGAAAAGGAAATATCTTCAAATAAAAACTAGACAGAATCATTCTCAAAAACTACTTTGTGATGTGTGCCTTCAACTCACAGAGTTTAACCTTTCTTTTCTTAGAGCAGTTTAGAAACACTCTGCTTGTTATGTCTGCAAGTGGATATTTGGACCTCTTTGAGGCCTTCGTTGCAAACGGGGTTTCTTCCTTTCATGCTAGACTAAGAAGAGTTCTCAGTAACTTTTTTGTGTTGTGTGTATTCAACTCACAGAGTTGAACCTTGCTTTAGAGAGAGCAGATTTGAAACACTCTTGCTGTGGCATTTTCAGGTGGAGATTTCAAGCGATTTGAGGACAATTGCAGAAAAGGAAATATCTTCGTATAATAACCAGACAGAATCATTCTCAGAAAGTGCTTTGTGATGTGTGCGTTCAACTCACAGAGTTTAACCTTTCTTTTCATAGAGGAGTTTGGAAACACACTGTTTGTAAAGACTGCAAGTGGATATATGGACCTGTTTGAGGCCTTCGTTGGAAACGGGATTTCTTCATTGAATGCTAGACGGAAGAATTCTCAGTAAATTCTTTGTGTTGTGTGCATTCAACTGACAGAGTGGAACGTCCCTTTAGACAGAGCAGATTTGAAACACTCTTTTTGCGGAATTTGCAAGTGGAGATTTCTAGCCATTTGATGCCAACAGTAGAAAGGGAAATATCTTCAAATAAAAACCAGACAGAATCATTCTCAGAAAATTCTTTGTGATGTGTGCGTTCAACTCACATAGTTTAACCTTTCTTTTCATAGAGCAGTTTGGAAACACTCTGTTTGTGAAGTCTGCAAGTGGATATATGGACCGCATTGAGGCCTTCGTTGGAAACGGGATTTCTTCATTTCATGCTAGACAGAAGAATTCTCAGTAACTTCTTTGTGCTGTGTGTACTCAACTCACAGAGTGGAACGTCCCTTTGCACAGAGCAGATTTGAAACACTCTTTTTGTGGAGTTTGCAAGTGGAGATTTCAAGCGATTTGATGCCAACAGTAGAAAAGGAAATATCTTCAAATAAAAACTAGACAGAATCATTCTCAGAAACTACTTTGTGATGTGTGCCTTCAACTCACAGAGTTTAACCTTTCTTTTCTTAGAGCAGTTTAGAAACACTCTGCTTGTTATGTCTGCAAGTGGATATTTGGACCTCTTTGAGGCCTTCGTTGCAAACGGGGTTTCTTCCTTTAATGCTAGACTAAGAAGAGTTCTCAGTAACTTTTTTGTGTTGTGTGTATTCAACTCACAGAGTTGAACCTTGCTTTAGAGAGAGCAGATTTGAAACACTCTCGCTGTGGAATTTTCAGGTGGAGATTTCAAGCGATTTGAGGACAATTGCAGAAAAGGAAATATCTTCGTATAATAACCAGACAGAATCATTCTCAGAAAGTGCTTTGTGATGTGTGCGTTCAACTCACAGAGTTTAACCTTTCTTTTCATAGAGGAGTTTGGAAACACACTGTTTGTAAAGTCTGCAATTGGATATATGGACCTGTTTGAGGCCTTCGTTGGAAACGGGATTTCTTCATTGAATGCTAGGCGGAAGAATTCTCAGTAAATTCTTTGTGTTGTGTGCATTCAACTCACAGAGTGGAACGTCCCTTTAGACAGAGCAGATTTGAAACACTCTTTTTGCGGAATTTGCAAGTGGAGATTTCTAGCCATTTGATGCCAACAGTAGAAAGGGAAATATCTTCAAATAAAAACCAGACAGAATCATTCTCAGAAAATTCTTTGTGATGTGTGCGTTCAACTCACATAGTTTAACCTTTCTTTTCATAGAGCAGTTTGGGAACACTCTGTTGGTAATGTCTGCAAGTGGATATATGGACCGCTTTGAGGCCTTCGTTGGAAACGGGATTTCTTCATTTCATGCTAGACAGAAGAATTCTCAGTAACTTCTTTGTGTTGTGTGTATTCAACTCACAGATTGGAACGTCCCTTTACACAGAGCAGATTTGAAACACTCTTTTTGTGGAATTTGCAAGTGGAGATTTCAAGCGATTTGATGCCAACAGTAGAAAAGGAAATATCTGCAAACAAAAACTAGACAGAATCATTCTCAGAAAGTGCTCTGTGATGTGTGCGTTCAACTCACAGAGTTTAACCTTTCTTTTCATAGAGGAGTTTCGAAACACACTGTTTGTAAAGTCTGCAAGTGGATATATGGACCTGTTTGAGGCCTTCGGTGGAAACGGGATTTTATCATATAATGCTAGACGGAAGAATTCTCAGTAAATTCTTTGTGTGGTGTGCATTCAACTCACAGAGTGGAACGTCCCTTTAGACAGAGCAGATTTGAAACACTCTTTTTGCGGAATTTGCAAGTGGAGATTTACTAGCCATTTGATGCCAACAGTAGAAAGGGAAATATCTTCAAATAAAAACCAGACAGAATCATTCTCAGAAAATTCTTTGTGATGTGTGCGTTCAACTCACATAGTTTAACCTTTCTTTTCATAGAGCAGTTTGGAAACACTCTGTTTGTAAAGTCTGCAAGTGGATATATGGACCGCATTGAGGCCTTCGTTGGAAACGGGATTTCTTCATTTCATGCTAGACAGAAGAATTCTCAGTAACTTCTTTGTGCTGTGTGTATTCAACTCACAGAGTGGAACGTCCCTTTGCACAGAGCAGATTTGAAACACTCTTTTTGTGGAGTTTGCAAGTGGAGATTTCAAGCGATTTGATGCCAACAGTAGAAAAGGAAATATCTTCAAATAAAAACTAGACAGAATCATTCTCAGAAACTACTTTGTGATGTGTGCCTTCAACTCACAGAGTTTAACCTTTCTTTTCTTAGAGCAGGTTAGAAACACTCTGCTTGTTATGTCTGCAAGTGGATATTTGGACCTCTTTGAGGCCTTCGTTGCATACGGGGTTTCTTCCTTTCATGCTAGACTAAGAAGAGTTCTCAGTAACTTTTTTGTGTTGTGTGTATTCAACTCACAGAGTTGAACCTTGCTTTAGAGAGAGCAGATTTGAAACACTCTTGCTGTGGCATTTTCAGGTGGAGATTTCAAGCGATTTGAGGACAATTGCAGAAAAGGAAATATCTTCGTATAATAACCAGACAGAATCATTCTCAGAAAGTGCTTTGTGATGTGTGCGTTCCACTCACAGAGTTTAACCTTTCTTTTCATAGAGGAGTTTGGAAACACACTGTTTGTAAACTCTGCAAGTGGATATATGGACCTGTTTGAGGCCTTCGTTGGAAACGGGATTTCTTCATTGAATGCTAGACGGAAGAATTCTCAGTAAATTCTTTGTGTTGTGTGCATTCAACTCACAGAGTGGAACGTCCCTTTAGACAGAGCAGATTTGAAACACTCTTTTTGCGGAATTTGCAAGTGGAGATTTCTAGCCATTTGATGCCAACAGTAGAAAGGGAAATATCTTCAAATAAAAACCAGACAGAATCATTCTCAGAAAATTCTTTGTGATGTGTGCGTTCAACTCACATAGTTTAACCTTTCTTTTCATAGAGCAGTTTGGAAACACTCTGTTTGTAAAGTCTGCAAGTGGATATATGGACCGCATTGAGGCCTTCGTTGGAAACGGGATTTCTTCATTTCATGCTAGACAGAAGAATTCTCAGTAACTTCCTTTGTGCTGTGTGTATTCAACTCACAGAGTGGAACGTCCCTTTACACAGAGCAGATTTGAAACACTCTTTTTGTGGAGTTTGCAAGTGGAGATTTCAAGCGATTTGATGCCAACAGTAGAAAAGGAAATATCTTCAAATAAAAACTAGACAGAATCATTCTCAGAAACTACTTTGTGATGTGTGCCTTCAACTCACAGAGTTTAACCTTTCTTTTCTTAGAGCAGTTTAGAAACACTCTGCTTGTTATGTCTGCAAGTGGATATTTGGACCTCTTTGAGGCCTTCGTTGCAAACGGGGTTTCTTCCTTTAATGCTAGACTAAGAAGAGTTCTCAGTAACTTTTTTGTGTTGTGTGTATTCAACTCACAGAGTTGAACCTTGCTTTAGAGAGAGCAGATTTGAAACACTCTTGCTGTGGCATTTTCAGGTGGAGATTTCAAGCGTTTTGAGGACAATTGCAGAAAAGGAAATATCTTCGTATAATAACCAGACAGAATCATTCTCAGAAAGTGCTTTGTGATGTGTGCGTTCCACTCACAGAGTTTAACCTTTCTTTTCATAGAGGAGTTTGGAAACACACTGTTTGTAAACTCTGCAAGTGGATATATGGACCTGTTTGAGGCCTTCGTTGGAAACGGGATTTCTTCATTGAATGCTAGACGGAAGAATTCTCAGTAAATTCTTTGTGTTGTGTGCATTCAACTCACAGAGTGGAACGTCCCTTTAGACAGAGCAGATTTGAAACACTCTTTTTGCGGAATTTGCAAGTGGAGATTTCTAGCCATTTGATGCCAACAGTAGAAAGGGAAATATCTTCAAATAAAAACCAGACAGAATCATTCTCAGAAAATTCTTTGTGATGTGTGCGTTCAACTCACATAGTTTAACCTTTCTTTTCATAGAGCAGTTTGGAAACACTCTGTTTGTAAAGTCTGCAAGTGGATATATGGACCGCATTGAGGCCTTCGTTGGAAACGGGATTTCTTCATTTCATGCTAGACAGAAGAATTCTCAGTAACTTCTTTGTGCTGTGTGTATTCAACTCACAGAGTGGAACGTCCCTTTACACAGAGCAGATTTGAAACACTCTTTTTGTGGAGTTTGCAAGTGGAGATTTCAAGCGATTTGATGCCAACAGTAGAAAAGGAAATATCTTCAAATAAAAACTAGACAGAATCATTCTCAGAAACTACTTTGTGATGTGTGCCTTCAACTCACAGAGTTTAACCTTTCTTTTCTTAGAGCAGTTTAGAAACACTCTGCTTGTTATGTCTGCAAGTGGATATTTGGACCTCTTTGAGGCCTTCGTTGCAAACGGGGTTTCTTCCTTTAATGCTAGACTAAGAAGAGTTCTCAGTAACTTTTTTGTGTTGTGTGTATTCAACTCACAGAGTTGAACCTTGCTTTAGAGAGAGCAGATTTGAAACACTCTCGCTGTGGAATTTTCAGGTGGAGATTTCAAGCGATTTGAGGACAATTGCAGAAAAGGAAATATCTTCGTATAATAACCAGACAGAATCATTCTCAGAAAGTGCTTTGTGATGTGTGCGTTCAACTCACAGAGTTTAACCTTTCTTTTCATAGAGGAGTTTGGAAACACACTGTTTGTAAAGTCTGCAATTGGATATATGGACCTGTTTGAGGCCTTCGTTGGAAACGGGATTTCTTCATTGAATGCTAGACGGAAGGATTCTCAGTAAATTCTTTGTGTTGTGTGCATTCAACTCACAGAGTGGAACGTCCCTTTAGACAGAGCAGATTTGAAACACTCTTTTTGCGGAATTTGCAAGTGGAGATTTCTAGCCATTTGATGCCAACAGTAGAAAGGGAAATATCTTCAAATAAAAACCAGACAGAATCATTCTCAGAAAATTCTTTGTGATGTGTGCGTTCAACTCACATAGTTTAACCTTTCTTTTCATAGAGCAGTTTGGAAACACTCTGTTTGTAAAGTCTGCAAGTGGATCTATGGACCGCATTGAGGCCTTCGTTGGAAACGGGATTTCTTCATTTCATGCTAGACAGAAGAATTCTCAGTAACTTCTTTGTGCTGTGTGTATTCAACTCACAGAGTGGAACGTCCCTTTGCACAGAGCAGATTTGAAACACTCTTTTTGTGGAGTTTGCAAGTGGAGATTTCAAGCGATTTGATGCCAACAGTAGAAAAGGAAATATCTTCAAATAAAAACTAGACAGAATCATTCTCAGAAACTACTTTGTGATGTGTGCCTTCAACTCACAGAGTTTAACCTTTCTTTTCTTAGAGCAGTTTAGAAACACTCTGCTTGTTATGTCTGCAAGTGGATATTTGGACCTCTTTGAGGCCTTCGTTGCAAACGGGGTTTCTTCCTTTAATGCTAGACTAAGAACAGTTCTCAGTAACTTTTTTGTGTTGTGTGTATTCAACTCACAGAGTTGAACCTTGCTTTAGAGAGAGCAGATTTGAAACACTCTCGCTGTGGAATTTTCAGGTGGAGATTTCAAGCGATTTGAGGACAATTGCAGAAAAGGAAATATCTTCGTATAATAACCAGACAGAATCATTCTCAGAAAGTGCTTTGTGATGTGTGCGTTCAACTCACAGAGTTTAACCTTTCTTTTCATAGAGGAGTTTGGAAACACACTGTTTGTAAAGTCTGCAATTGGATATATGGACCTGTTTGAGGCCTTCGTTGGAAACGGGATTTCTTCATTGAATGCTAGACGGAAGAATTCTCAGTAAATTCTTTGTGTTGTGTGCATTCAACTCACAGAGTGGAACGTCCCTTTAGACAGAGCAGATTTGAAACACTCTTTTTGCGGAATTTGCAAGTGGAGATTTCTAGCCATTTGATGCCAACAGTAGAAAGGGAAATATCTTCAAATAAAAACCAGACAGAATCATTCTCAGAAAATTCTTTGTGATGTGTGCGTTCAACTCACATAGTTTAACCTTTCTTTTCATAGAGCAGTTTGGAAACACTCTGTTTGTAAAGTCTGCAAGTGGATATATGGACCGCATTGAGGCTTTCGTTGGAAACGGGATTTCTTCATTTCATGCTAGACAGAAGAATTCTCAGTAACTTCTTTGTGCTGTGTGTATTCAACTCACAGAGTGGAACGTCCCTTTACACAGAGCAGATTTGAAACACTCTTTTTGTGGAGTTTGCAAGTGGAGATTTCAAGCGATTTGATGCCAACAGTAGAAAAGGAAATATCTTCAAATAAAAACTGGACAGAATCATTCTCAGAAACTACTTTGTGATGTGTGCCTTCAACTCACAGAGTTTAACCTTTCTTTTCTTAGAGCAGTTTAGAAACACTCTGCCTGTTATGTCTGCAAGTGGATATTTGGACCTCTTTGAGGCCTTCGTTGCAAACGGGATTTCTTCCTTTCATGCTAGACTAAGAAGAGTTCTCAGTAACTTTTTTGTGTTGTGTGTATTCAACTCACAGAGTTGAACCTTGCTTTAGAGAGAGCAGATTTGAAACACTCTTGCTGTGGCATTTTCAGGTGGAGATTTCAAGCGATTTGAGGACAATTGCAGAAAAGGAAATATCTTCGTATAACAACCAGACAGAATCATTCTCAGAAAGTGCTTTGTGATGTGTGCGTTCAACTCACAGAGTTTAACCTTTCTTTTCATAGAGGAGTTTGGAAACACACTGTTTGTAAAGTCTGCAAGTGGATATATGGACCTCTTTGAGGCCTTCGTTGGAAACGGGATTTCTTCATTGAATGCTAGACCGAAGAATTCTCAGTAAATTCTTTGTGTTGTGTGCATTCAACTCACAGAGTGGAACGTCCCTTTAGACAGAGCAGATTTGAAACACTCTTTTTGCGGAATTTGCAAGTGGAGATTTCTAGCCATTTGATGCCAACAGTAGAAAGGGAAATATCTTCAAATAAAAACCAGACAGAATCATTCTCAGAAAATTCTTTGTGATGTGTGCGTTCAACTCACATAGTTTAACCTTTCTTTTCATAGAGCAGTTTGGAAACACTCTGTTTGTAAAGTCTGCAAGTGGATATATGGACCGCATTGAGGCCTTCGTTGGAAACGGGATTTCTTCATTTCATGCTAGACAGAAGAATTCTCAGTAACTTCTTTGTGCTGTGTGTATTCAACTCACAGAGTGGAACGTCCCTTTGCACAGAGCAGATTTGAAACACTCTTTTTGTGGAGTTTGCAAGTGGAGATTTCAAGCGATTTGATGCCAACAGTAGAAAAGGAAATATCTTCAAATAAAAACTAGACAGAATCATTCTCAGAAACTACTTTGTGATGTGTGCCTTCAACTCACAGAGTTTAACCTTTCTTTTCTTAGAGCAGTTTAGAAACACTCTGCTTGTTATGTCTGCAAGTGGATATTTGGACCTCTTTGAGGCCTTCGTTGCAAACGGGGTTTCTTCCTTTAATGCTAGACTAAGAAGAGTTCTCAGCAACTTTTTTGTGTTGTGTGTATTCAACTCACAGAGTTGAACCTTGCTTTAGAGAGAGCAGATTTGAAACACTCTTGCTGTGGCATTTTCAGGTGGAGATTTCAAGCGATTTGAGGACAATTGCAGAAAAGGAAATATCTTCGTATAATAACCAGACAGAATCATTCTCAGAAAGTGCTTTGTGATGTGTGCGTTCAACTCACAGAGTTTAACCTTTCTTTTCATAGAGGAGTTTGGAAACACACTGTTTGTAAAGTCTGCAATTGGATATATGGACCTGTTTGAGGCCTTCGTTGGAAACGGGATTTCTTCATTGAATGCTAGACGGAAGAATTCTCAGTAAATTCTTTGTGTTGTGTGCATTCAACTCACAGAGTGGAACGTCCCTTTAGACAGAGCAGATTTGAAACACTCTTTTTGCGGAATTTGCAAGTGGAGATTTCTAGCCATTTGATGCCAACAGTAGAAAGGGAAATATCTTCAAATAAAAACCAGACAGAATCATTCTCAGAAAATTCTTTGTGATGTGTGCGTTCAACTCACATAGTTTAACCTTTCTTTTCATAGAGCAGTTTGGAAACACTCTGTTTGTAAAGTCTGCAAGTGGATATATGGACCGCATTGAGGCCTTCGTTGGAAAAGGGATTTCTTCATTTCATGCTAGACAGAAGAATTCTCAGTAACTTCTTTGTGCTGTGTGTATTCAACTCACAGAGTTGAACCTTGCTTTAGAGAGAGCAGATTTGAAACACTCTTGCTGTGGCATTTTCAGGTGGAGATTTCAAGCGATTTGAGGAAAATTGCAGAAAAGGAAATATCTTCGTATAATAACCAGACAGAATCATTCTCAGAAAGTGCTTTGTGATGTGTGCGTTCAACTCACAGAGTTTAACCTTTCTTTTCATAGAGGAGTTTGGAAACACACTGTTTGTAAAGTCTGCAAGTGGATATATGGACCTGTTAGAGGCTTTCGTTGGAAACGGGATTTCTTCATTGAATGCTAGACGGAAGAATTCTCAGTAAATTCTTTGTGTTGTGTGCATTCAACTCACAGAGTGGAACGTCCCTTTAGACAGAGCAGATTTGAAACACTCTTTTTGCGGAATTTGCAAGTGGAGATTTCTAGCCATTTGATGCCAACAGTAGAAAGGGAAATATCTTCAAATAAAAACCAGACAGAATCATTCTCAGAAAATTCTTTGTGATGTGTGCGTTCAACTCACATAGTTTAACCTTTCTTTTCATAGAGCAGTTTGGAAACACTCTGTTTGTAAAGTCTGCAAGTGGATATATGGACCGCATTGAGGCCTTCGTTGGAAACGGGATTTCTTCATTTCATGCTAGACAGAAGAATTCTCAGTAACTTCTTTGTGCTGTGTGTATTCAACTCACAGAGTGGAACGTCCCTTTGCACAGAGCAGATTTGAAACACTCTTTTTGTGGAATTTGCAAGTGGAGATTTCAAGCGATTTGATGCCAACAGTAGAAAAGGAAATATCTTCAAATAAAAACTAGACAGAATCATTCTCAGAAACTACTTTGTGATGTGTGCCTTCAACTCACAGAGTTTAACCTTTCTTTTCTTAGAGCAGTTTAGAAACACTCTGCTTGTTATGTCTGCAAGTGGATATTTGGACCTCTTTGAGGCCTTCGTTGCAAACGGGGTTTCTTCCTTTCATGCTAGACTAAGAAGAGTTCTCAGTAACTTTTTTGTGTTGTGTGTATTCAACTCACAGAGTTGAACCTTGCTTTAGAGAGAGCAGATTTGAAACACTCTTGCTGTGGCATTTTCAGGTGGAGATTTCAAGCGATTTGAGGACAATTGCAGAAAAGGAAATATCTTCGTATAATAACCAGACAGAATCATTCTCAGAAAGTGCTTTGTGATGTGTGCGTTCAACTCACAGAGTTTAACCTTTCTTTTCATAGAGGAGTTTGGAAACACACTGTTTGTAAAGTCTGCAATTGGATATATGGACCTGTTTGAGGCCTTCGTTGGAAACGGGATTTCTTCATTGAATGCTAGACGGAAGAATTCTCAGTAAATTCTTTGTGTTGTGTGCATTCAACTCACAGAGTGGAACGTCCCTTTAGACAGAGCAGATTTGAAACACTCTTTTTGCGGAATTTGCAAGTGGAGATTTCTAGCCATTTGATGCCAACAGTAGAAAGGGAAATATCTTCAAATAAAAACCAGACAGAATCATTCTCAGAAAATTCTTTGTGATGTGTGCGTTCAACTCACATAGTTTAACCTTTCTTTTCATAGAGCAGTTTGGAAACACTCTGTTTGTAAAGTCTGCAAGTGGATATATGGACCGCATTGAGGCCTTCGTTGGAAACGGGATTTCTTCATTTCATGCTAGACAGAAGAATTCTCAGTAACTTCTTTGTGCTGTGTGTATTGAACTCACAGAGTGGAACGTCCCTTTACACAGAGCAGATTTGAAACACTCTTTTTGTGGAGTTTGCAAGTGGAGATTTCAAGCGATTTGATGCCAACAGTAGAAAATGAAATATCTTCAAATAAAAACTAGACAGAATCATTCTCAGAAACTACTTTGTGATGTGTGCCTTCAACTCACAGAGTTTAACCTTTCTTTTCTTAGAGCAGTTTAGAAACACTCTGCTTGTTATGTCTGCAAGTGGATATTTGGACCTCTTTGAGGCCTTCGTTGCAAACAGGGTTTCTTCCTTTAATGCTAGACTAAGAAGAGTTCTCAGTAACTTTTTTGTGTTGTGTGTATTCAACTCACAGAGTTGAACCTTGCTTTAGAGAGAGCAGATTTGAAACACTCTTGCTGTGGCATTTTCAGGTGGAGATTTCAAGCGATTTGAGGACAATTGCAGAAAAGGAAATATCTTCGTATAATAACCAGACAGAATCATTCTCAGAAAGTGCTTTGTGATGTGTGCGTTCCACTCACAGAGTTTAACCTTTCTTTTCATAGAGGAGTTTGGAAACACACTGTTTGTAAAGTCTGCAAGTGGATATATGGACCTGTTTGAGGCCTTCGTTGGAAACGGGATTTCTTCATTGAATGCTAGACGGAAGAATTCTCAGTAAATTCTTTGTGTTGTGTGCATTCAACTCACAGAGTAGAACGTCCCTTTAGGCAGAGCAGATTTGAAACACTCTTTTTGCGGAATTTGCAAGTGGAGATTTCTAGCCATTTGATGCCAACAGTAGAAAGGGAAATATCTTCAAATAAAAACCAGACAGAATCATTCTCAGAAAATTCTTTGTGATGTGTGCGTTCAACTCACATAGTTTAACCTTTCTTTTCATAGAGCAGTTTGGAAACACTCTGTTTGTAAAGTCTGCAAGTGGATATATGGACCGCATTGAGGCCTTCGTTGGAAACGGGATTTCTTCATTTCATGCTAGACAGAAGAATTCTCAGTAACTTCTTTGTGCTGTGTGTATTCAACTCACAGAGTGGAACGTCCCTTTGCACAGAGCAGATTTGAAACACTCTTTTTGTGGAATTTGCAAGTGGAGATTTCAAGCGATTTGATGCCAACAGTAGAAAAGGAAATATCTTCAAATAAAAACTAGACAGAACCATTCTCAGAAACTACTTTGTGATGTGTGCCTTCAACTCACAGAGTTTAACCTTTCTTTTCTTAGAGCAGTTTAGAAACACTCTGCTTGTTATGTCTGCAACTGGATATTTGGACCTCTTTGAGGCCTTCGTTGCAAACGGGGTTTCTTCCTTTCATGCTAGACTAAGAAGAGTTCTCAGTAACTTTTTTGTGTTGTGTGTATTCAACTCACAGAGTTGAACCTTGCTTTAGAGAGAGCAGATTTGAAACACTCTTGCTGTGGCATTTTCAGGTGGAGATTTCAAGCGATTTGAGGACAATTGCAGAAAAGGAAATATCTTCGTATAACAACCAGACAGAATCATTCTCAGAAAGTGCTTTGTGATGTGTGCGTTCAACTCACAGAGTTTAACCTTTCTTTTCATAGAGGAGTTTGGAAACACACTGTTTGTAAAGTCTGCAATTGGATATATGGACCTGTTTGAGGCCTTCGTTGGAAACGGGATTTCTTCATTGAATGCTAGACGGAAGAATTCTCAGTAAATTCTTTGTGTGGTGTGCATTCAACTCACAGAGTGGAACGTCCCTTTAGACAGAGCAGATTTGAAACACTCTTTTTGCGGAATTTGCAAGTGGAGATTTCTAGCCATTTGATGCCAACAGTAGAAAGGGAAATATCTTCAAATAAAAACCAGACAGAATCATTCTCAGAAAATTCTTTGTGATGTGTGCGTTCAACTCACATAGTTTAACCTTTCTTTTCATAGAGCAGTTTGGAAACACTCTGTTTGTAAAGTCTGCAAGTGGATCTATGGACCGCATTGAGGCCTTCGTTGGAAACGGGATTTCTTCATTTCATGCTAGACAGAAGAATTCTCAGTAACTTCTTTGTGCTGTGTGTATTCAACTCACAGAGTGGAACGTCCCTTTGCACAGAGCAGATTTGAAACACTCTTTTTGTGGAATTTGCAAGTGGAGATTTCAAGCGATTTGATGCCAACAGTAGAAAAGGAAATATCTTCAAATAAAAACTAGACAGAATCATTCTCAGAAACTACTTTGTGATGTGTGCCTTCAACTCACAGAGTTTAACCTTTCTTTTCTTAGAGCAGTTTAGAAACACTCTGCTTGTTATGTCTGCAAGTGGATATTTGGACCTCTTTGAGGCCTTCGTTGCAAACGGGGTTTCTTCCTTTCATGCTAGACTAAGAAGAGTTCTCAGTAACTTTTTTGTGTTGTGTGTATTCAACTCACAGAGTTGAACCTTGCTTTAGAGAGAGCAGATTTGAAACACTCTTGCTGTGGCATTTTCAGGTGGAGATTTCAAGCGATTTGAGGACAATTGCAGAAAAGGAAATATCTTCGTATAATAACCAGACAGAATCATTCTCAGAAAGTGCTTTGTGATGTGTGCGTTCCACTCACAGAGTTTAACCTTTCTTTTCATAGAGGAGTTTGGAAACACACTGTTTGTAAAGTCTGCAAGTGGATATATGGACCTGTTTGAGGCCTTCGTTGGAAACGGGATTTCTTCATTGAATGCTAGACGGAAGAATTCTCAGTAAATTCTTTGTGTTGTGTGCATTCAACTCACAGAGTGGAACGTCCCTTTAGACAGAGCAGATTTGAAACACTCTTTTTGCGGAATTTGCAAGTGGAGATTTCTAGCCATTTGATGCCAACAGTAGAAAGGGAAATATCTTCAAATAAAAACCAGACAGAATCATTCTCAGAAAATTCTTTGTGATGTGTGCGTTCAACTCACATAGTATAACCTTTCTTTTCATAGAGCAGTTTGGAAACACTCTGTTTGTAAAGTCTGCAAGTGGATATATGGACCGCATTGAGGCCTTCGTTGGAAACGGGATTTCTTCATTTCATGCTAGACAGAAGAATTCTCAGTAACTTCTTTGTGCTGTGTGTATTCAACTCACAGAGTGGAACGTCCCTTTGCACAGAGCAGATTTGAAACACTCTTTTTGTGGAATTTGCAAGTGGAGATTTCAAGCGATTTGATGCCAACAGTAGAAAAGGAAATATCTTCAAATAAAAACTAGACAGAATCATTCTCAGAAACTACTTTGTGATGTGTGCCTTCAACTCACAGAGTTTAACCTTTCTTTTCTTAGAGCAGTTTAGAAACACTCTGCTTGTTATGTCTGCAAGTGGATATTTGGACCTCTTTGAGGCCTTCGTTGCAAACGGGGTTTCTTCCTTTCATGCTAGACTAAGAAGAGTTCTCAGTAACTTTTTTGTGTTGTGTGTATTCAACTCACAGAGTTGAACCTTGCTTTAGAGAGAGCAGATTTGAAACACTCTTGCTGTGGCATTTTCAGGTGGAGATTTCAAGCGATTTGAGGACAATTACAGAAAAGGAAATATCTTCGTATAACAACCAGACAGAATCATTCTCAGAAAGTGCTTTGTGATGTGTGCGTTCAACTCACAGAGTTTAACCTTTCTTTTCATAGAGGAGTTTGGAAACATACTGTTTGTAAAGTCTGCAATTGGATATATGGACCTGTTTGAGGCCTTCGTTGGAAACGGGATTTCTTCATTGAATGCTAGACGGAAGAATTCTCAGTAAATTCTTTGTGTTGTGTGCATTCAACTCACAGAGTGGAACATCCCTTTAGACAGAGCAGATTTGAAACACTCTTTTTGCGGAATTTGCAAGTGGAGATTTCTAGCCATTTGATGCCAACAGTAGAAAGGGAAATATCTTCAAATAAAAACCAGACAGAATCATTCTCAGAAAATTCTTTGTGATGTGTGCGTTCAACTCACATAGTTTAACCTTTCTTTTCATAGAGCAGTTTGGAAACACTCTGTTTGTAAAGTCTGCAAGTGGATATATGGACCGCATTGAGGCCTTCGTTGGAAACGGGATTTCTTCATTTCATGCTAGACAGAAGAATTCTCAGTAACTTCTTTGTGCTGTGTGTATTCAACTCACAGAGTGGAACGTCCCTTTGCACAGAGCAGATTTGAAACACTCTTTTTGTGGAGTTTGCAAGTGGAGATTTCAAGCGATTTGATGCCAACAGTAGAAAAGGAAATATCTTCAAATAAAAACTAGACAGAATCATTCTCAGAAACTACTTTGTGATGTGTGCCTTCAACTCACAGAGTTTAACCTTTCTTTTCTTAGAGCAGTTTAGAAACACTCTGCTTGTTATGTCTGCAAGTGGATATTTGGACCTCTTTGAGGCCTTCGTTGCAAACGGGGTTTCTTCCTTTCATGCTAGACTAAGAAGAGTTCTCAGTAACTTTTTTGTGTTGTGTGTATTCAACTCACAGAGCTGAACCTTGCTTTAGAGAGAGCAGATTTGAAACACTCTTGCTGTGGCATTTTCAGGTGGAGATTTCAAGCGATTTGAGGACAATTGCAGAAAAGGAAATATCTTCGTATAACAACCAGACAGAATCATTCTCAGAAAGTGCTTTGTGATGTGTGCGTTCAACTCACAGAGTTTAACCTTTCTTTTCATAGAGGAGTTTGGAAACACACTGTTTGTAAAGTCTGCAATTGGATATATGGACCTGTTTGAGGCCTTCGTTGGAAACGGGATTTCTTCATTGAATGCTAGACGGAAGAATTCTCAGTAAATACTTTGTGTTGTGTGCATTCAACTGACAGAGTGGAACGTCCCTTTAGACAGAGCAGATTTGAAACACTCTTTTTGCGGAATTTGCAAGTGGAGATTTCTAGCCATTTGATGCCAACAGTAGAAAGGGAAATATCTTCAAATAAAAACCAGACAGAATCATTCTCAGAAAATTCTTTGTGATGTGTGCGTTCAACTCACATAGTTTAACCTTTCTTTTCATAGAGCAGTTTGGAAACACTCTGTTTGTAAAGTCTGCAAGTGGATATATGGACCGCATTGAGGCCTTCGTTGGAAACGGGATTTCTTCATTTCATGCTAGACAGAAGAATTCTCAGTAACTTCTTTGTGCTGTGTGTATTCAACTCACAGAGTGGAACGTCCCTTTACACAGAGCAGATTTGAAACACTCTTTTTGTGGAGTTTGCAAGTGGAGATTTCAAGCGATTTGATGCCAACAGTAGAAAAGGAAATATCTTCAAATAAAAACTAGACAGAATCATTCTCAGAAACTACTTTGTGATGTGTGCCTTCAACTCACAGAGTTTAACCTTTCTTTTCTTAGAGCAGTTTAGAAACACTCTGCTTGTTATGTCTGCAAGTGGATATTTGGACCTCTTTGAGGCCTTCGTTGCAAACGGGGTTTCTTCCTTTCATGCTAGACTAAGAAGAGTTCTCAGTAACTTTTTTGTGTTGTGTGTATTCAACTCACAGAGTTGAACCTTGCTTTAGAGAGAGCAGATTTGAAACACTCTTGATGTGGCATTTTCAGGTGGAGATTTCAAGCGATTTGAGGACAATTGCAGAAAAGGAAATATCTTCGTATAATAACCAGACAGAATCATTCTCAGAAAGTGCTTTGTGATGTGTGCGTTCAACTCACAGAGTTTAACCTTTCTTTTCATAGAGGAGTTTGGAAACACACTGTTTGTAAAGTCTGCAATTGGATATATGGACCTGTTTGAGGCCTTCGTTGGAAACGGGATTTCTTTATTGAATGCTAGGCGGAAGAATTCTCAGTAAATTCTTTGTGTTGTGTGCATTCAACTCACAGAGTGGAACGTCCCTTTAGACAGAGCAGATTTGAAACACTCTTTTTGCGGAATTTGCAAGTGGAGATTTCTAGCCATTTGATGCCAACAGTAGAAAGGGAAATATCTTCAAATAAAAACCAGACAGAATCATTCTCAGAAAATTCTTTGTGATGTGTGCGTTCAACTCACATAGTTTAACCTTTCTTTTCATAGAGCAGTTTGGAAACACTCTGTTTGTAAAGTCTGCAAGTGGATCTATGGACCGCATTGAGGCCTTCGTTGGAAACGGGATTTCTTCATTTCATGCTAGACAGAAGAATTCTCAGTAACTTCTTTGTGCTGTGTGTATTCAACTCACAGAGTGGAACGTCCCTTTGCACAGAGCAGATTTGAAACACTCTTTTTGTGGAGTTTGCAAGTGGAGATTTCAAGCGATTTGATGCCAACAGTAGAAAACGAAGTATCTTCAAATAAAAACTAGACAGAATCATTCTCAGAAACTACTTTGTGATGTGTGCCTTCAACTCACAGAGTTTAACCTTTCTTTTCTTAGAGCAGCTTAGAAACACTCTGCTTGTTATGTCTGCAAGTTGATATTTGGACCTCTTTGAGGCCTTCGTTGCAAACGGGGTTTCTTCCTTTAATGCTAGACTAAGAAGAGTTCTCAGTAACTTTTTTGTGTTGTGTGTATTCAACTCACAGAGTTGAACCTTGCTTTAGAGAGAGCAGATTTGAAACACTCTTGCTGTGGCATTTTCAGGTGGAGATTTCAAGCGATTTGAGGACAATTGCAGAAAAGGAAATATCTTCGTATAATAACCAGACAGAATCATTCTCAGAAAGTGCTTTGTGATGTGTGCGTTCAACTCACAGAGTTTAACCTTTCTTTTCATAGAGGAGTTTGGAAACACACTGTTTGTAAAGTCTGCAATTGGATATATGGACCTGTTTGAGGCCTTCGTTGGAAACGGGATTTCTTCATTGAATGCTAGACGGAAGAATTCTCAGTAAATTCTTTGTGTTGTGTGCATTCAACTCACAGAGTGGAACGTCCCTTTAGACAGAGCAGATTTGAAACACTCTTTTTGCGGAATTTGCAAGTGGAGATTTCTAGCCATTTGATGTCAACAGTAGAAAGGGAAATATCTTCAAATAAAAACCAGACAGAATCATTCTCAGAAAATTCTTTGTGATGTGTGCGTTCAACTCACATAGTTTAACCTTTCTTTTCATAGAGCAGTTTGGAAACACTCTGTTTGTAAAGTCTGCAAGTGGATATATGGACCGCATTGAGGCCTTCGTTGGAAACGGGATTTCTTCATTTCATGCTAGACAGAAGAATTCTCAGTAACTTCTTTGTGCTGTGTGTATTCAACTCACAGAGTGGAACGTCCCTTTGCACAGAGCAGATTTGAAACACTCTTTTTGTGGAGTTTGCAAGTGGAGATTTCAAGCGATTTGATGCCAACAGTAGAAAAGGAAATATCTTCAAATAAAAACTAGACAGAATCATTCTCAGAAACTACTTTGTGATGTGTGCCTTCAACTCACAGAGTTTAACCTTTCTTTTCTTAGAGCAGTTTAGAAACACTCTGCTTGTTATGTCTGCAAGTGGATATTTGGACCTCTTTGAGGCCTTCGTTGCAAACGGGGTTTCTTCCTTTCATGCTAGACTAAGAAGAGTTCTCAGTAACTTTTTTGTGTTGTGTGTATTCAACTCACAGAGTTGAACCTTGCTTTAGAGAGAGCAGATTTGAAACACTCTTGCTGTGGCATTTTCAGGTGGAGATTTCAAGCGATTTGAGGACAATTGCAGAAAAGGAAATATCTTCGTATAATAACCAGACAGAATCATTCTCAGAAAGTGCTTTGTGATGTGTGCGTTCAACTCACAGAGTTTAACCTTTCTTTTCATAGAGGAGTTTGGAAACACACTGTTTGTAAAGTCTGCAATTGGATATATGGACCTGTTTGAGGCCTTCTTTGGAAACGGGATTTCTTCATTGAATGCTAGACGGAAGAATTCTCAGTAAATTCTTTGTGTTGTGTGCATTCAACTGACAGAGTGGAACGTCCCTTTAGACAGAGCAGATTTGAAACACTCTTTTTGCGGAATTTGCAAGTGGAGATTTCTAGCCATTTGATGCCAACAGTAGAAAGTGAAATATCTTCAAATAAAAACCAGACAGAATCATTCTCAGAAAATTCTTTGTGATGTGTGCGTTCAACTCACATAGTTTAACCTTTCTTTTCATAGAGCAGTTTGGAAACACTCTGTTTGTAAAGTCTGCAAGTGGATATATGGACCGCATTGAGGCCTTCGTTGGAAACGGGATTTCTTCATTTCATGCTAGACAGAAGAATTCTCAGTAACTTCTTTGTGCTGTGTGTATTCAACTCACAGAGTGGAACGTCCCTTTACACAGAGCAGATTTGAAACACTCTTTTTGTGGAGTTTGCAAGTGGAGATTTCAAGCGATTTGATGCCAACAGTAGAAAAGGAAATATCTTCAAATAAAAACTAGACAGAATCATTCTCAGAAACTATTTTGTGATGTGTGCCTTCAACTCACAGAGTTTAACCTTTCTTTTCATAGAGCAGTTTAGAAACACTCTGCTTGTTATGTCTGCAAGTGGATATTTGGACCTCTTTGAGGCCTTCGTTGCAAACGGGGTTTCTTCATTTCATTCTAGACTAAGAAGAGTTCTCAGTAACTTTTTTGTGTTGTGTGTATTCAACTCACAGAGTTGAACCTTGCTTTAGAGAGAGCAGATTTGAAACACTCTTGCTGTGGCATTTTCAGGTGGAGATTTCAAGCGATTTGAGGACAATTGCAGAAAAGGAAATATCTTCGTATAACAACCAGACAGAATCATTCTCAGAAAGTGCTTTGTGATGTGTGCGTTCAACTCACAGAGTTTAACCTTTCTTTTCATAGAGGAGTTTGGAAACACACTGTTTGTAAAGTCTGCAATTGGATATATGGACCTGTTTAAGGCCTTCGTTGGAAACGGGATTTCTTCATTGAATGCTAGACGGAAGAATTCTCAGTAAATTCTTTGTGTGGTGTGCATTCAACTCACAGAGTGGAACGTCCCTTTAGACAGAGCAGATTTGAAACACTCTTTTTGCGGAATTTGCAAGTGGAGATTTCTAGCCATTTGATGCCAACAGTAGAAAGGGAAATATCTTCAAATAAAAACCAGACAGAATCATTCTCAGAAAATTCTTTGTGATGTGTGCGTTCAACTCACATAGTTTAACCTTTCTTTTCATAGAGCAGTTTGGAAACACTCTGTTTGTAAAGTCTGCAAGTGGATATATGGACCGCATTGAGGCCTTCGTTGGAAACGGGATTTCTTCATTTCATGCTAGACAGAAGAATTCTCAGTAACTTCTTTGTGCTGTGTGTATTCAACTCACAGAGTGGAACGTCCCTTTGCACAGAGCAGATTTTAAACACTCTTTTTGTGGAGTTTGCAAGTGGAGATTTCAAGCGATTTGATGCCAACAGTAGAAAAGGAAATATCTTCAAATAAAAACTAGACAGAATCATTCTCAGAAACTACTTTGTGATGTGTGCCTTCAACTCACAGAGTTTAACCTTTCTTTTCTTAGAGCACTTTAGAAACACTCTGCTTGTTATGTCTGCAAGTGGATATTTGGACCTCTTTGAGGCCTTCGTTGCAAACGGGGTTTCTTCCTTTCATGCTAGACTAAGAAGAGTTCTCAGTAACTTTTTTGTGTTGTGTGTATTCAACTCACAGAGTTGAACCTTGCTTTAGAGAGAGCAGATTTGAAACACTCTTGCTGTGGCATTTTCAGGTGGAGATTTCAAGCGATTTGAGGACAATTGCAGAAAAGGAAATATCTTCGTATAATAACCAGACAGAATCATTCTCAGAAAGTGCTTTGTGATGTGTGCGTTCCACTCACAGAGTTTAACCTTTCTTTTCATAGAGGAGTTTGGAAACACACTGTTTGTAAAGTCTGCAAGTGGATATATGGACCTGTTTGAGGCCTTCGTTGGAAACGGGATTTCTTCATTGAATGCTAGACGGAAGAATTCTCAGTAAATTCTTTGTGTTGTGTGCATTCAACTCACAGAGTGGAACGTCCCTTTAGACAGAGCAGATTTGAAACACTCTTTTTGCGGAATTTGCAAGTGGAGATTTCTAGCCATTTGATGCCAACAGTAGAAAGGGAAATATCTTCAAATAAAAACCAGACAGAATCATTCTCAGAAAATTCTTTGTGATGTGTGCGTTCAACTCACATAGTTTAACCTTTCTTTTCATAGAGCAGTTTGGAAACACTCTGTTTGTAAAGTCTGCAAGTGGATATATGGACCGCATTGAGGCCTTCGTTGGAAACGGGATTTCTTCATTTCATGCTAGACAGAAGAATTCTCAGTAACTTCTTTGTGCTGTGTGTATTCAACTCACAGAGTGGAACGTCCCTTTGCACAGAGCAGATTTGAAACACTCTTTTTGTGGAGTTTGCAAGTGGAGATTTCAAGCGATTTGATGCCAACAGTAGAAAAGGAAATATCTTCAAATAAAAACTAGACAGAATCATTCTCAGAAACTACTTTGTGATGTGTGCCTTCAACTCACAGAGTTTAACCTTTCTTTTCTTAGAGCAGTTTAGAAACACTCTGCTTGTTATGTCTGCAAGTGGATATTTGGACCTCTTTGAGGCCTTCGTTGCAAACGGGGTTTCTTCCTTTCATGCTAGACTAAGAAGAGTTCTCAGTAACTTTTTTGTGTTGTGTGTATTCAACTCACAGAGTTGAACCTTGCTTTAGAGAGAGCAGATTTGAAACACTCTTGCTGTGGCATTTTCAGGTGGAGATTTCAAGCGATTTGAGGACAATTGCAGAAAAGGAAATATCTTCGTATAATAACCAGACAGAATCATTCTCAGAAAGTGCTTTGTGATGTGTGCGTTCCACTCACAGAGTTTAACCTTTCTTTTCATAGAGGAGTTTGGAAACACACTGTTTGTAAAGTCTGCAAGTGGATATATGGACCTGTTTGAGGCCTTCGTTGGAAACGGGATTTCTTCATTGAATGCTAGACGGAAGAATTCTCAGTAAATTCTTTGTGTTGTGTGCATTCAACTCACAGAGTGGAACGTCCCTTTAGACAGAGCAGATTTGAAACACTCTTTTTGCGGAATTTGCAAGTGGAGATTTCTAGCCATTTGATGCCAACAGTAGAAAGGGAAATATCTTCAAATAAAAACCAGACAGAATCATTCTCAGAAAATTCTTTGTGATGTGTGCGTTCAACTCACATAGTTTAACCTTTCTTTTCATAGAGCAGTTTGGAAACACTCTGTTTGTAAAGTCTGCAAGTGGATATATGGACCGCATTGAGGCCTTCGTTGGAAACGGGATTTCTTCATTTCATGCTAGACAGAAGAATTCTCAGTAACTTCTTTGTGCTGTGTGTATTCAACTCACAGAGTGGAACGTCCCTTTGCACAGAGCAGATTTGAAACACTCTTTTTGTGGAGTTTGCAAGTGGAGATTTCAAGCGATTTGATGCCAACAGTAGAAAAGGAAATATCTTCAAATAAAAACTAGACAGAATCATTCTCAGAAACTACTTTGTGATGTGTGCCTTCAACTCACAGAGTTTAACCTTTCTTTTCTTAGAGCAGTTTAGAAACACTCTGCTTGTTATGTCTGCAAGTGGATATTTGGACCTCTTTGAGGCCTTCGTTGCAAACGGGGTTTCTTCCTTTCATGCTAGACTAAGAAGAGTTCTCAGTAACTTTTTTGTGTTGTGTGTATTCAACTCACAGAGTTGAACCTTGCTTTAGAGAGAGCAGATTTGAAACACTCTTGCTGTGGCATTTTCAGGTGGAGATTTCAAGCGATTTGAGGACAATTGCAGAAAAGGAAATATCTTCGTATAACAACCAGACAGAATCATTCTCAGAAAGTGCTTTGTGATGTGTGCGTTCAACTCACAGAGTTTAACCTTTCTTTTCATAGAGGAGTTTGGAAACACACTGTTTGTAAAGTCTGCAATTGGATATATGGACCTGTTTGAGGCCTTCGTTGGAAACGGGATTTCTTCATTGAATGCTAGACGGAAGAATTCTCAGTAAATTCTTTGTGTTGTGTGCATTCAACTCACAGAGTGGAACGTCCCTTTAGACAGAGCAGATTTGAAACACTCTTTTTGCGGAATTTGCAAGTGGAGATTTCTAGCCATTTGATGCCAACAGTAGAAAGGGAAATATCTTCAAATAAAAACCAGACAGAAATCATTCTCAGAAAATTCTTTGTGATGTGTGCGTTCAACTCACATAGTTTAACCTTTCTTTTCATAGAGCAGTTTGGAAACACTCTGTTTGTAAAGTCTGCAAGTGGATATATGGACCGCATTGAGGCCTTCGTTGGAAACGGGATTTCTTCATTTCATACTAGACAGAAGAATTCTCAGTAACTTCTTTGTGCTGTGTGTATTCAACTCACAGAGTGGAACATCCCTTTGCACAGAGCAGATTTGAAACACTCTTTTTGTGGAGTTTGCAAGTGGAGATTTCAAGCGATTTGATGCCAACAGTAGAAAAGGAAATATCTTCAAATAAAAACTAGACAGAATCATTCTCAGAAACTACTTTGTGATGTGTGCCTTCAACTCACAGAGTTTAACCTTTCTTTTCTTAGAGCAGTTTAGAAACACTCTCCTTGTTATGTCTGCAAGTGGATATTTGGACCTCTTTGAGGCCTTCGTTGCAAACGGGGTTTCTTCCTTTCACGCTAGACTAAGAAGAGTTCTCAGTAACTTTTTTGTGTTGTGTGTATTCAACTCACAGAGTTGAACCTTGCTTTAGAGAGAGCAGATTTGAAACACTCTTGCTGTGGCATTTTCAGGTGGAGATTTCAAGCGTTTTGAGGACAATTGCAGAAAAGGAAATATCTTCGTATAATAACCAGACAGAATCATTCTCAGAAAGTGCTTTGTGATGTGTGCGTTCAACTCACAGAGTTTAACCTTTCTTTTCATAGAGGAGTTTGGAAACACACTGTTTGTAAAGTCTGCAAGTGGATATATGGACCTGTTTGAGGCCTTCGTTGGAAACGGGATTTCTTCATTGAATGCTAGACGGAAGAATTCTCAGTAAATTCTTTGTGTTGTGTGCATTCAACTCACAGAGTGGAACGTCCCTTTAGACAGAGCAGATTTGAAACACTCTTTTTGCGGAATTTGCAAGTGGAGATTTCTAGCCATTTGATGCCAACAGTAGAAAGGGAAATATCTTCAAATAAAAACCAGACAGAATCATTCTCAGAAAATTCTTTGTGATGTGTGCGTTCAACTCACATAGTTTAACCTTTCTTTTCATAGAGCAGTTTGGAAACACTCTGTTTGTAAAGTCTGCAAGTGGATATATGGACCGCATTGAGGCCTTCGTTGGAAACGGGATTTCTTCATTTCATGCTAGACAGAAGAATTCTCAGTAACTTCTTTGTGCTGTGTGTATTCAACTCACAGAGTGGAACGTCCCTTTGCACAGAGCAGATTTTAAACACTCTTTTTGTGGAGTTTGCAAGTGGAGATTTCAAGCGATTTGATGCCAACAGTAGAAAAGGAAATATCTTCAAATAAAAACTAGACAGAATCATTCTCAGAAACTACTTTGTGATGTGTGCCTTCAACTCACAGAGTTTAACCTTTCTTTTCTTAGAGCACTTTAGAAACACTCTGCTTGTTATGTCTGCAAGTGGATATTTGGACCTCTTTGAGGCCTTCGTTGCAAACGGGGTTTCTTCCTTTACATGCTAGACTAAGAACAGTTCTCAGTAACTTTTTTGTGTTGTGTGTATTCAACTCACAGAGTTGAACGTTGCTTTAGAGAGAGCAGATTTGAAACACTCTTGCTGTGGCATTTTCAGGTGGAGATTTCAAGCGTTTTGAGGACAATTGCAGAAAAGGAAATATCTTCGTATAATAACCAGACAGAATCATTCTCAGAAAGTGCTTTGTGATGTGTGCGTTCCACTCACAGAGTTTAACCTTTCTTTTCATAGAGGAGTTTGGAAACACACTGTTTGTAAACTCTGCAAGTGGATATATGGACCTGTTTGAGGCCTTGGTTGGAAACGGGATTTCTTCATTGAATGCTAGACGGAAGAATTCTCAGTAAATTCTTTGTGTTGTGTGCATTCAACTCACAGAGTGGAACGTCCCTTTAGACAGAGCAGATTTGAAACACTCTTTTTGCGGAATTTGCAAGTGGAGATTTCTAGCCATTTGATGCCAACAGTAGAAAGGGAAATATCTTCAAATAAAAACCAGACAGAATCATTCTCAGAAAATTCTTTGTGATGTGTGCGTTCAACTCACATAGTTTAACCTTTCTTTTCGTAGAGCAGTTTGGAAACACTCTGTTTGTAAAGTCTGCAAGTGGATATATGGACCGCATTGAGGCCTTCGTTGGAAACGGGATTTCTTCATTTCATACTAGACAGAAGAATTCTCAGTAACTTCTTTGTGCTGTGTGTATTCAACTCACAGAGTGGAACGTCCCTTTGCACAGAGCAGATTTGAAACACTCTTTTTGTGGAGTTTGCAAGTGGAGATTTCAAGCGATTTGATGCCAACAGTAGAAAAGGAAATATCTTCAAATAAAAACTAGACAGAATCATTCTCAGAAACTACTTTGTGATGTGTGCCTTCAACTCACAGAGTTTAACCTTTCTTTTCTTAGAGCAGTTTAGAAACACTCTGCTTGTTATGTCTGCAAGTGGATATTTGGACCTCTTTGAGGCCTTCGTTGCAAACGGGATTTCTTCCTTTCATGCTAGACTAAGAAGAGTTCTCAGTAACTTTTTTGTGTTGTGTGTATTCAACTCACAGAGTTGAACCTTGCTTTAGAGAGAGCAGATTTGAAACACTCTTGCTGTGGCATTTTCAGGTGGAGATTTCAAGCGATTTGAGGACAATTGCAGAAAAGGAAATATCTTCGTATAATAACCAGACAGAAATCATTCTCAGAAGTGCTTTGTGATGTGTGCGTTCCACTCACAGAGTTTAACCTTTCCTTTCATAGAGGAGTTTGGAAACACACTGTTTGTAAACTCTGCAAGTGGATATATGGACCTGTTTGAGGCCTTCGTTGGAAACGGGATTTCTTCATTGAATGCTAGACGGAGAATTCTCAGTAAATTCTTTGTGTTGTGTGCATTCAACTGACAGAGTGGAACGTCGCTTTAGACAGAGCAGATTTGAAACACTCTTTTTGCGGAATTTGCAAGTGGAGATTTCTAGACATTTGATGCCAACAGTAGAAAGGGAAATATCTTCAAATAAAAACCAGACAGAATCATTCTCAGAAAATTCTTTGTGATGTGTGCGTTCAACTCACATAGTTTAACCTTTCTTTTCATAGAGCAGTTTGGAAACACTCTGTTTGTAAAGTCTGCAAGTGGATATATGGACCGCATTGAGGCCTTCGTTGGAAACGGGATTTCTTGATTTCATGCTAGACAGAAGAATTCTCAGTAACTTCTTTGTGCTGTGTGTATTCAACTCACAGAGTGGAACGTCCCTTTGCACAGAGCAGATTTGAAACACTCTTTTTGTGGAGTTTGCAAGTGGAGATTTCAAGCGATTTGATGCCAACAGTAGAAAAGGAAATATCTTCAAATAAAAACTAGACAGAATCATTCTCAGAAACTGCTTTGTGATGTGTGCCTTCAACTCACAGAGTTTAACCTTTCTTTTCTTAGAGCAGTTTAGAAACACTCTGCTTGTTATGTCTGCAAGTGGATATTTGGACCTCTTTGAGGCCTTCGTTGCAAACGGGGTTTCTTCCTTTCATGCTAGACTAAGAAGAGTTCTCAGTAACTTTTTTGTGTTGTGTGTATTCAACTCACAGAGTTGAACCTTGCTTTAGAGAGAGCAGATTTGAAACACTCTTGCTGTGGCATTTTCAGGTGGAGATTTCAAGCGATTTGAGGACAATTGCAGAAAAGGAAATATCTTCGTATAATAACCAGACAGAATCATTCTCAGAAAGTGCTTTGTGATGTGTGCGTTCCACTCACAGAGTTTAACCTTTCTTTTCATAGAGGAGTTTGGAAACACACTGTTTGTAAAGTCTGCAAGTGGATATATGGACCTGTTTGAGGCCTTCGTTGGAAACGGGATTTCTTCATTGAATGCTAGACGGAAGAATTCTCAGTAAATTCTTTGTGTTGTGTGCATTCAACTCACAGAGTGGAACGTCCCTTTAGACAGAGCAGATTTGAAACACTCTTTTTGCGGAATTTGCAAGTGGAGATTTCTAGCCATTTGATGCCAACAGTAGAAAGGGAAATATCTTCAAATAAAAACCAGACAGAATCATTCTCAGAAAATTCTTTGTGATGTGTGCGTTCAACTCACATAGTTTAACCTTTCTTTTCTTAGAGCAGTTTAGAAACACTCTGCTTGTTATGTCTGCATGTGGATATTTGGACCTCTTTGAGGCCTTCGTTGCAAACGGGGTTTCTTCCTTTCATGCTAGACTAAGAAGAGTTCTCAGTAACTTTTCTGTGTTGTGTGTATTCAACTCACACAGTTGAACCTTGCTTTAGAGAGAGCAGATTTGAAACACTCTTGCTGTGGCATTTTCAGGTGGAGATTTCAAGCGTTTTGAGGACAATTGCAGAAAAGGAAATATCTTCGTATAATAACCAGACAGAATCATTCTCAGAAAGTGCTTTGTGATGTGTGCGTTCAACTCACAGAGTTTAACCTTTCTTTTCATAGAGGAGTTTGGAAACACACTGTTTGTAAAGTCTGCAAGTGGATATATGGACCTGTTTGAGGCCTTCGTTGGAAACGGGATTTCTTCATTGAATGCTAGACGGAAGAATTCTCAGTAAATTCTTTGTGTTGTGTGCATTCAACTCACAGAGTGGAACGTCCCTTTAGGCAGAGCAGATTTGAAACACTCTTTTTGCGGAATTTGCAAGTGGAGATTTCTAGCCATTTGATGCCAACAGTAGAAAGGGAAATATCTTCAAATAAAAACCAGACAGAATCATTCTCAGAAAATTCTTTGTGATGTGTGCGTTCAACTCACATAGTTTAACCTTTCTTTTCATAGAGCAGTTTGGAAACACTCTGTTTGTAAAGTCTGCAAGTGGATATATGGACCGCATTGAGGCCTTCGTTGGAAACGGGATTTCTTCATTTCATGCTAGACAGAAGAATTCTCAGTAACTTCTTTGTGCTGTGTGTATTCAACTCACAGAGTGGAACGTCCCTTTGCACAGAGCAGATTTGAAACACTCTTTTTGTGGAGTTTGCAAGTGGAGATTTCAAGCGATTTGATGCCAACAGTAGAAAAGGAAATATCTTCAAATAAAAACTAGACAGAATCATTCTCAGTAAACTACTTTGTGATGTGTGCCTTCAACTCACAGAGTTTAACCTTTCTTTTCTTAGAGCAGTTTAGAAACACTCTCCTTGTTATGTCTGCAAGTGGATATTTGGACCTCTTTGAGGCCTTCGTTGCAAACGGGGTTTCTTCCTTTCACGCTAGACTAAGAAGAGTTCTCAGTAACTTTTTTGTGTTGTGTGTATTCAACTCACAGAGTTGAACCTTGCTTTAGAGAGAGCAGATTTGAAACACTCTTGCTGTGGCATTTTCAGGTGGAGATATCAAGCGATTTGAGGACAATTGGAGAAAAGGAAATATCTTCGTATAATAACCAGACAGAATCATTCACAGAAAGTGCTTTGTGATGTGTGCGTTCAACTCACAGACTTTAACCTTTCTTTTCATAGAGGAGTTTGGAAACACACTGTTTGTAACGTCTGCAAGTGGATATATGGACCTGTTTGAGGCCTTCGTTGGAAACGGGATTTCTTCATTGAATGCTAGACGGAAGAATTCTCAGTAAATTCTTTGTGTTGTGTGCATTCAACTCACACAGTGGAACGTCCCTTTAGACAGAGCAAATTTGAAACACTCTTTTTGCGGAAGTTGCAAGTGGAGATTTCTAGCCATTTGATGCCAACAGTGGAAAGGGAAATATCTTCAAATAAAAACTAGACAGAATCATTCTCCGAAAGTGCTTTGTGATGTGTGCGTTCAACTCACAGAGTTTAACCTTTCTTTTCATAGAGGAGTTTGGAAACACACTGTTTGTAAAGTCTGCAATTGGATATATGGACCTGTTTGAGGCCTTCGTTGGAAACGGGATTTCTTCATTGAATGCTAGACGGAAGAATTCTCAGTAAATTCTTTGTGTTGTGTGCATTCAACTCACAGAGTGGAACGTCCCTTAAGACAGAGCAGATTTGAAACACTCTTTTTGCGGAATTTGCAAGTGGAGATTTCTAGCCATTTGATGCCAACAGTAGAAAGGGAAATATCTTCAAATAAAAACCAGACAGAATCATTCTCAGAAAATTCTTTGTGATGTGTGCGTTCAACTCACATAGTTTAACCTTTCTTTTCATAGAGCAGTTTGGAAACACTCTGTTTGTAAAGTCTGCAAGTGGATATATGGACCGCATTGAGGCCTTCGTTGGAAACGGGATTTCTTCATTTCATGCTAGACAGAAGAATTCTCAGTAACTTCTTTGTGCTGTGTGTATTCAACTCACAGAGTGGAACGTTCCTTTACACAGAACAGATTTGAAACACTCTTTTTGTGGAATTTGCAAGTGGAGATTTCAAGCGATTTGATGCCAACAGTAGAAAAGGAAATATCTTCAAATAAAAACTAGACAGAATCATTCTCAGAAACTACTTTGTGATGTGTGCCTTCAACTCACAGAGTTTAACCTTTCTTTTCTTAGAGCAGTTTAGAAACACTCTGCTTGTTATGTCTGCAAGTGGATATTTGGACCTCTTTGAGGCCTTCGTTGCAAACGGGGTTTCTTCCTTTCATGCTAGACTAAGAAGAGTTCTCAGTAACTTTTTTGTGTTGTGTGTATTCAACTCACAGAGTTGAACCTTGCTTTAGAGAGAGCAGATTTGAAACACTCTTGCTGTGGCATTTTCAGGTGGAGATTTCAAGCGATTTGAGGACAATTGCAGAAAAGGAAATATCTTCGTATAATAACCAGACAGAATCATTCTCAGGAAGTGCTTTGTGATGTGTGCGTTCAACTCACAGAGTTTAACCTTTCTTTTCATAGAGGAGTTTGGAAACACACTGTTTGTAAAGTCTGCAAGTGGATATATGGACCTGTTTGAGCCCTTCGTTGGAAACGGGATTTCTTCATTGAATGCTAGACGGAAGAATTCTCAGTAAATTCTTTGTGTTGTGTGCATTCAACTGACAGAGTGGAACGTCCCTTTAGACAGAGCAGATTTGAAACACTCTTTTTGCGGAATTTGCAAGTGGAGATTTCTAGCCATTTGATGCCAACAGTAGAAAGGGAAATATCTTCAAATAAAAACCAGACAGAATCATTCTCAGAAAATTCTTTGTGATGTGTGCGTTCAACTCACATAGTTTAACCTTTCTTTTCATAGAGCAGTTTGGAAACACTCTGTTTGTAAATTCTGCAAGTGGATATATGGACCGCATTGAGGCCTTCGTTGGAAACGGGATTTCTTCATTTCATGCTAGATAGAAGAATTCTCAGTAACTTCTTTGTGCTGTGTGTATTCAACTCACAGAGTGGAACGTCCCTTTACACAGAGCAGATTTGAAACACTCTTTTTGTGGAGTTTGCAAGTGGAGATTTCAAGCGATTTGATGCCAACAGTAGAAAAGGAAATATCTTCAAATAAAAACTAGACAGAATCATTCTCAGAAACTACTTTGTGATGTGTGCCTTCAACTCACAGAGTTTAACCTTTCTTTTCTTAGAGCAGTTTAGAAACACTCTGCTTGTTATGTCTGCAAGTGGATATTTGGACCTCTTTGAGGCCTTCGTTGCAAACGGGGTTTCTTCCTTTCATGCTAGACTAAGAAGAGTTCTCAGTAACTTTTTTGTGTTGTGTGTATTCAACTCACAGAGTTGAACCTTGCTTTAGAGAGAGCAGATTTGAAACACTCTTGCTGTGGCATTTTCAGGTGGAGATTTCAAGCGATTTGAGGACAATTGCAGAAAAGGAAATATCTTCGTATAATAACCAGACAGAATCATTCTCAGAAAGTGCTTTGTGATGTGTGCGTTCCACTCACAGAGTTTAACCTTTCTTTTCATAGAGGAGTTTGGAAACACACTGTTTGTAAACTCTGCAAGTGGATATATGGACCTGTTTGAGGCCTTCGTTGGAAACGGGATTTCTTCATTGAATGCTAGACGGAAGAATTCTCAGTAAATTCTTTGTGTTGTGTGCATTCAACTCACAGAGTGGAACGTCCCTTTAGACAGAGCAGATTTGAAACACTCTTTTTGCGGAATTTGCAAGTGGAGATTTCTAGCCATTTGATGCCAACAGTAGAAAGGGAAATATCTTCAAATAAAAACCAGACAGAATCATTCTCAGAAAATTCTTTGTGATGTGTGCGTTCAACTCACATAGTTTAACCTTTCTTTTCATAGAGCAGTTTGGAAACACTCTGTTTGTAAAGTCTGCAAGTGGATATATGGACCGCATTGAGGCCTTCGTTGGAAACGGGATTTCTTCATTTCATGCTAGACAGAAGAATTCTCAGTAACTTCTCTGTGCTGTGTGTATTCAACTCACAGAGTGGAACGTCCCTTTGCACAGAGCAGATTTGAAACACTCTTTTTGTGGAGTTTGTAATTGGAGATTTCAAGCGATTTGATGCCAACAGTAGAAAAGGAAATATCTGCAAACAAAAACTAGACAGAATCATTCTCAGAAACTACTTTGTGATGTCTGCCTTCAACTCACAGAGTTTAACCTTTCTTTTCTTTGAGCAGTTTAGAAACACTCTGCTTGTTATGTCTGCAAGTGGATATTTGGACCTCTTTGAGGCCTTCGTTGCAAACGGGGTTTCTTCCTTTCATGCTAGACTAAGAAGAGTTCTCAGTAACTTTTTTGTGTTGTGTGTATTCAACTCACAGAGTTGAACCATGCTTTAGAGAGAGCAGATTTGAAACACTCTTGCTGTGGCATTTTCAGGTGGAGATTTCAAGCGATTTGAGGACAATTGCAGAAAAGGAAATATCTTCGTATAATAACCAGACAGAATCATTCTCAGAAAGTGCTTTGTGATGTGTGCGTTCAACTCACAGAGTTTAACCTTTCTTTTCATAGAGGAGTTTGGAAACACACTGTTTGTAAAGTCTGCAAGTGGATATATGGACCTGTTTGAGGCCTTCGTTGGAAACGGGATTTCTTCATTGAATGCTAGACGGAAGAATTCTCAGTAAATTCTTTGTGTTGTGTGCATTCAACTCACAGAGTGGAACGTCCCTTTAGACAGAGCAGATTTGAAACACTCTTTTTGCGGAATTTGCAAGTGGAGATTTCTAGCCATTTGATGCCAACAGTAGAAAGGGAAATATCTTCAAATAAAAACCAGACAGAATCATTCTCAGAAAATTCTTTGTGATGTGTGCGTTCAACTCACATAGTTTAACCTTTCTTTTCATAGAGCAGTTTGGAAACACTCTGTTTGTAAAGTCTGCAAGTGGATATATGGACCGCATTGAGGCCTTCGTTGGAAACGGGATTTCTTCATTTCATGCTAGACAGAAGAATTCTCAGTAACTTCTTTGTGCTGTGTGTATTCAACTCACAGAGTGGAACGTCCCTTTACACAGAGCAGATTTGAAACACTCTATTTGTGGAGTTTGCAAGTGGAGATTTCAAGCGATTTGATGCCAACAGTAGAAAAGGAAATATCTTCAAATAAAAACTAGACAGAATCATTCTCAGAAACTACTTTGTGATGTGTGCCTTCAACTCACAGAGTTTAACCTTTCTTTTCTTAGAGCAGTTTAGAAACACTCTGCTTGTTATGTCTGCAAGTGGATATTTGGACCTCTTTGAGGCCTTCGTTGCAAACGGGGTTTCTTCCTTTCATGCTAGACTAAGAAGAGTTCTCAGTAACTTTTTTGTGTTGTGTGTATTCAACTCACAGAGTTGAACCTTGCTTTAGAGAGAGCAGATTTGAAACACTCTTGCTGTGGCATTTTCAGGTGGAGATTTCAAGCGATTTGAGGACAATTGCAGAAAAGGAAATATCTTCGTATAATAACCAGACAGAATCATTCTCAGAAAGTGCTTTGTGATGTGTGCATTCCACTCACAGAGTTTAACCTTTCTTTTCATAGAGGAGTTTGGAAACACACTGTTTGTAAAGTCTGCAAGTGGATATATGGACCTCTTTGAGGCCCTTCGTTGGAAACGGGATTTCTTCATTGAATGCTAGACGGAAGAATTCTCAGTAAATTCTTTGTGTTGTGTGCATTCAACTCACAGAGTGGAACGTCCCTTTAGACAGAGCAGATTTGAAACACTCTTTTTGCGGAATTTGCAAGTGGAGATTTCTAGCCATTTGATGCCAACAGTAGAAAGGGAAATATCTTCAAATAAAAACCAGACAGAATCATTCTCAGAAAATTCTTTGTGATGTGTGCGTTCAACTCACATAGTTTAACCTTTCTTTTCATAGAGCAGTTTGGAAACACTCTGTTTGTAAAGTCTGCAAGTGGATATATGGACCGCATTGAGGCCTTCGTTGGAAACGGGATTTCTTCATTTCATGCTAGACAGAAGAATTCTCAGTAACTTCTTTGTGCTGTGTGTATTCAACTCACAGAGTGGAACGTCCCTTTACACAGAGCAGATTTGAAACACTCTTTTTGTGGAATTTGCAAGTGGAGATTTCAAGCGATTTGATGCCAACAGTAGAAAAAGAAATATATTCAAATAAAAACTAGACAGAATCATTCTCAGAAACTACTTTGTGATGTGTGCCTTCAACTCACAGAGTTTAACCTTTCTTTTCTTAGAGCAGTTTAGAAACACTCTGCTTGTTATGTCTGCAAGTGGATATTTGGACCTCTTTGAGGCCTTCGTTGCAAACGGGGTTTCTTCCTTTCATGCTAGACTAAGAAGAGTTCTCAGTAACTTTTTTGTGTTGTGTGTATTCAACTCACAGAGTTGAACCTTGCTTTAGAGAGAGCAGATTTGAAACACTCTTGCTGTGGCATTTTCAGGTGGAGATTTCAAGCGATTTGAGGACAATTGCAGAAAAGGAAATATCTTCGTATAATAACCAGACAGAATCATTCTCAGAAAGTGCTTTGTGATGTGTGCGTTCAACTCACAGAGTTTAATCTTTCTTTTCATAGAGGAGTTTGGAAACACACTGTTTGTAAAGTCTGCAATTGGATATATGGACCTGTTTGAGGCCCTTCGTTGGAAACGGGATTTCTTCATTGAATGCTAGACGGAAGAATTCTCAGTAAATTCTTTGTGTTGTGTGCATTCAACTCACAGAGTGGAACGTCCCTTTAGACAGAGCAGATTTGAAACACTCTTTTTGCGGAATTTGCAAGTGGAGATTTCTAGCCATTTGATGTCAACAGTAGAAAGGGAAATATCTTCAAATAAAAACCAGACAGAATCATTCTCAGAAAATTTTTGTGATGTGTGCGTTCAACTCACATAGTTTAACCTTTCTTTTCATAGAGCAGTTTGGAAACACTCTGTTTGTAAAGTCTGCAAGTGGATATATGGACCGCATTGAGGCCTTCGTTGGAAACGGGATTTCTTCATTTCATGCTAGACAGAAGAATTCTCAGTAACTTCTTTGTGCTGTGTGTATTCAACTCACAGAGTGGAACGTCCCTTTACACAGAGCAGATTTGAAACACTCTTTTTGTGGAGTTTGCAAGTGGAGATTTCAAGCGATTTGATGCCAGCAGTAGAAAAGGAAATATCTTCAAATAAAAACTAGACAGAATCATTCTCAGAAACTACTTTGTGATGTGTGCCTTCAACTCACAGAGTTTAACCTTTCTTTTCTTAGAGCAGTTTAGAAACACTCTGCTTGTTATGTCTGCAAGTGGATATTTGGACCTCTTTGAGGCCTTCGTTGCAAACGGGGTTTCTTCCTTTCATGCTAGACTAAGAAGAGTTCTCAGTAACTTTTTTGTGTTGTGTGTATTCAACTCACAGAGTTGAACCTTGCTTTAGAGAGAGCAGATTTGAAACACTCTTGCTGTGGCATTTTCAGGTGGAGATTTCAAGCGATTTGAGGACAATTGCAGAAAAGGAAATATCTTCGTATAATAACCAGACAGAATCATTCTCAGAAAGTGCTTTGTGATGTGTGCGTTCAACTCACAGAGTTTAACCTTTCTTTTCATAGAGGAGTTTGGAAACACACTGTTTGTAAAGTCTGCAATTGGATATATGGACCTGTTTGAGGCCTTCGTTGGAAACGGGATTTTATCATATAATGATAGACGGAAGAATTCTCAGTAAATTCTTTGTGTTGTATGCATTCAACTCACAGAGTGGAACGTCCCTTTAGACAGAGCAGATTTGAAACACTCTTTTTGCGGAATTTGCAAGTGGAGATTTCTAGCCATTTGATGCCAACAGTAGAAAGGGAAATATCTTCAAATAAAAACCAGACAGAATCATTCTCAGAAAATTCTTTGTGATGTGTGCGTTCAACTCACATAGTTTAACCTTTCTTTTCATAGAGCAGTTTGGAAACACTCTGTTTGTAAAGTCTGCAAGTGGATATATGGACCGCATTGAGGCCTTCGTTGGAAACGGGATTTCTTCATTTCATGCTAGACAGAAGAATTCTCAGTAACTTCTTTGTGCTGTGTGTATTCAACTCACAGAGTGGAACGTCCCTTTACACAGAGCAGATTTGAAACACTCTTTTTGTGGAGTTTGCAAGTGGAGATTTCAAGCGATTTGATGCCAACAGTAGAAAAGGAAATATCTTCTAATAAAAACTAGACAGAATCATTCTCAGAAACTACTTTGTGATGTGTGCCTTCAACTCACAGAGTTTAACCTTTCTTTTCTTAGAGCAGTTTAGAAACACTCTGCTTGTTACGTCTGCAAGTGGATATTTGGACCTCTTTGAGGCCTTCGTTGCAAACGGGGTTTCTTCCTTTAATGCTAGACTAAGAAGAGTTCTCAGTAACTTTTTTGTGTTGTGTGTATTCAACTCACAGAGTTGAACCTTGCTTTAGAGAGAGCAGATTTGAAACACTCTTGCTGTGGCATTTTCAGGTGGAGATTTCAAGCGATTTGAGGACAATTGCAGAAAAGGAAATATCTTCGTATAATAACCAGACAGAATCATTCTCAGAAAGTGCTTTGTGATGTGTGCGTTCCACTCACAGAGTTTAACCTTTCCTTTCATAGAGGAGTTTGGAAACACACTGTTTGTAAAGTCTGCAAGTGGATATATGGACCTGTTTGAGGCCTTCGTTGGAAACGGGATTTCTTCATTGAATGCTAGACGGAAGAATTCTCAGTAAATTCTTTGTGTTGTGTGCATTCAACTCACAGAGTGGAACGTCCCTTTAGACAGAGCAGATTTGAAACACTCTTTTTGCGGAATTTGCAAGTGGAGATTTCTAGCCATTTGATGCCAACAGTAGAAAGGGAAATATCTTCAAATAAAAACCAGACAGAATCATTCTCAGAAAATTCTTTGTGATGTGTGCGTTCAACTCACATAGTTTAACCTTTCTTTTCATAGAGCAGTTTGGAAACACTCTGTTTGTAAAGTCTGCAAGTGGATATATGGACCGCATTGAGGCCTTCGTTGGAAACGGGATTTCTTCATTTCATGCTAGACAGAAGAATTCTCAGTAACTTCTTTGTGCTGTGTGTATTCAACTCACAGAGTGGAACGTCCCTTTGCACAGAGCAGATTTGAAACACTCTTTTTGTGGAGTTTGCAAGTGGAGATTTCAAGCGATTTGATGCCAACAGTAGAAAAGGAAATATCTTCAAATAAAAACTAGACAGAATCATTCTCAGAAACTACTTTGTGATGTGTGCCTTCAACTCACAGAGTTTAACCTTTCTTTTCTTAGAGCAGTTTAGAAACACTCTGCTTGTTATGTCTGCAAGTGGATATTTGGACCTCTTTGAGGCCTTCGTTGCAAACGGGGTTTCTTCCTTTCATGCTAGACTAAGAAGAGTTCTCAGTAACTTTTTTGTGTTGTGTGTATTCAACTCACAGAGTTGAACCTTGCTTTAGAGAGAGCAGATTTGAAACACTCTTGCTGTGGCATTTTCAGGTGGAGATTTCAAGCGATTTGAGGACAATTGCAGAAAAGGAAATATCTTCGTATAATAACCAGACAGAATCATTCTCAGAAAGTGCTTTGTGATGTGTGCGTTCAACTCACAGAGTTTAACCTTTCTTTCCATAGAGGAGTTTGGAAACACACTGTTTGTAAAGTCTGCAATTGGATATATGGACCTGTTTGAGGCCTTCGTTGGAAACGGGATTTCTTCATTGAATGCTAGACGGAAGAATTCTCAGTAAATTCTTTGTGTTGTGTGCATTCAACTGACAGAGTGGAACGTCCCTTTAGACAGAGCAGATTTGAAACACTCTTTTTGCGGAATTTGCAAGTGGAGATTTCTAGCCATTTGATGCCAACAGTAGAAAGGGAAACATCTTCAAATAAAAACCAGACAGAATCATTCTCAGAAAATTCTTTGTGATGTGTGCGTTCAACTCACATAGTTTAACCTTTCTTTTCATAGAGCAGTTTGGAAACACTCTGTTTGTAAAGTCTGCAAGTGGATATATGGACCACATTGAGGCCTTCGTTGGAAACGGGATTTCTGCATTTCATGCTAGACAGAAGAATTCTCAGCAACTTCTTTGTGCTGTGTGTATTCAACTCACAGAGTGGAACGTCCCTTTACACAGAGCAGATTTGAAACACTCTTCTTGTGGAGTTTGCAAGTGAAGATTTCAAGCGATTTGATGCCAACAGTAGAAAAGGAAATATCTTCAAATAAAAACTAGACAGAATCATTCTCAGAAACTACTTTGTGATGTGTGCCTTCAACTCACAGAGTTTAACCTTTCTTTTCTTAGAGCACTTTAGAAACACTCTGCTTGTTATGTCTGCAAGTGGATATTTGGACCTCTTTGAGGCCTTCGTTGCAAACGGTGTTTCTTCCTTTCATACTAGACTAAGAAGAGTTCTCAGTAACTTTTTTGTGTTGTGTGTATTCAACTCACAGAGTTGAACCTTGCTTTAGAGAGAGCAGATTTGAAACACTCTTGCTGTGGCATTTTCAGGTGGAGATTTCAAGCGATTTGAGGACAATTGCAGAAAAGGAAATATCTTCGTATAATAACCAGACAGAATCATTCTCAGAAAGTGCTTTGTGATGTGTGCGTTCAACTCACAGAGTTTAACCTTTCTTTCCATAGAGGAGTTTGGAAACACACTGTTTGTAAAGTCTGCAATTGGATATATGGACCTGTTTGAGGCCTTCGTTGGAAACGGGATTTCTTCATTGAATGCTAGACGGAAGAATTCTCAGTAAATTCTTTGTGTTGTGTGCATTCAACTGACAGAGTGGAACGTCCCTTTAGAGAGAGCAGATTTGAAACACTCTTTTTGCGGAATTTGCAAGTGTAGATTTCTAGCCATTTGATGCCAACAGTAGAAAGGGAAATATCTTCAAATAAAAACCAGACAGAATCATTCTCAGAAAATTCTTTGTGATGTGTGCGTTCAACTCACATAGTTTAACCTTTCTTTTCATAGAGCAGTTTGGAAACACTCTGTTTGTAAAGTCTGCAAGTGGATATATGGACCGCATTGAGGCCTTCGTTGGAAACGGGATTTCTTCATTTCATGCTAGACAGAAGAATTCTCAGTAACTTCTTTGTGCTGTGTGTATTCAACTCACAGAGTGGAACGTCCCTTTAGACAGAGCAGATTTGAAACACTCTTTTTGCGGAATTTGCAAGTGGAGATTTCTAGCCATTTGATGCCAACAGTAGAAAGGGAAATATCTTCAAATAAAAACCAGACAGAATCATTCTCAGAAAATTCTTTGTGATGTGTGCGTTCAACTCACATAGTTTAACCTTTCTTTTCATAGAGCAGTTTGGAAACACTCTGTTTGTAAAGTCTGCAAGTGGATATATGGACCGCATTGAGGCCTTCGTTGGAAACGGGATTTCTTCATTTCATGCTAGACAGAAGAATTCTCAGTAACTTCTTTGTGCTGTGTGTATTCAACTCACAGAGTGGAACGTCCCTTTACACAGAGCAGATTTGAAACACTCTTTTTGTGGAGTTTGCAAGTGGAGATTTCAAGCGATTTGATGCCAACAGTAGAAAAGGAAATATCTTCAAATAAAAACTAGACAGAATCATTCTCAGAAACTACTTTGTGATGTGTGCCTTCAACTCACAGAGTTTAACCTTTCTTTTCTTAGAGCAGTTTAGAAACACTCTGCTTGTTATGTCTGCAAGTGGATATTTGGACCTCTTTGAGGCCTTCGTTGCAAACGGGGTTTCTTCCTTTCATGCTAGACTAAGAAGAGTTCTCAGTAACTTTTTTGTGTTGTGTGTATTCAACTCACAGAGTTGAACCTTGCTTTAGAGAGAGCAGATTTGAAACACTCTTGCTGTGGCATTTTCAGGTGGAGATTTCAAGCGATTTGAGGACAATTGCAGAAAAGGAAATATCTTCGTATAACAACCAGACAGAATCATTCTCAGAAAGTGCTTTGTGATGTGTGCGTTCCACTCACAGAGTTTAACCTTTCTTTTCATAGAGGAGTTTGGAAACACACTGTTTGTAAAGTCTGCAATTGGATATATGGACCTGTTTGAGGCCTTCGTTGGAAACGGGATTTCTTCATTGAATGCTAGACGGAAGAATTCTCAGTAAATTCTTTGTGTTGTGTGCATTCAACTCACAGAGTGGAACGTCCCTTTAGACAGAGCAGATTTGAAACACTCTTTTTGCGGAATTTGCAAGTGGAGATTTCTAGCCATTTGATGCCAACAGTAGAAAGGGAAATATCTTCAAATAAAAACCAGACAGAATCATTCTCAGAAAATTCTTTGTGATGTGTGCGTTCAACTCACATAGTTTAACCTTTCTTTTCATAGAGCAGTTTGGAAACACTCTGTTTGTAAAGTCTGCAAGTGGATCTATGGACCGCATTGAGGCCTTCGTTGGAAACGGGATTTCTTCATTTCATGCTAGACAGAAGAATTCTCAGTAACTTCTTTGTGCTGTGTGTATTCAACTCACAGAGTGGAACGTCCCTTTGCACAGAGCAGATTTGAAACACTCTTTTTGTGGAATTTGCAGGTGGAGATTTCAAGCGATTTGATGCCAACAGTAGAAAAGGAAATATCTTCAAATAAAAACTAGACAGAATCATTCTCTGAAACTACTTTGTGATGTGTGCCTTCAACTCACAGAATTTAACCTTTCTTTTCTTAGAGCAGTTTAGAAACACTCTGCTTGTTATGTCTGCAAGTGGATATTTGGACCTCTTTGAGGCCTTCGTTGCAAACGGGGTTTCTTCCTTTAATGCTAGACTAAGAAGAGTTCTCAGTAACTTTTTTGTGTTGTGTGTATTCAACTCACAGAGTTGAACCTTGCTTTAGAGAGAGCAGATTTGAAACACTCTTGCTGTGGCATTTTCAGGTGGAGATTTCAAGCGATTTGAGGACAATTGCAGAAAAGGAAATATCTTCGTATAATAACCAGAGAGAATCATTCTCAGAAAGTGCTTTGTGATGTGTGCGTTCCACTCACAGAGTTTAACCTTTCTTTTCATAGAGGAGTTTGGAAACACACTGTTTGTAAAGTCTGCAAGTGGATATATGGACCTGTTTGAGGCCTTCGTTGGAAACGGGATTTCTTCATTGAATGCTAGACGGAAGAATTCTCAGTAAATTCTTTGTGTTGTGTGCATTCAACTCACAGAGTGGAACGTCCCTTTAGACACAGCAGATTTGAAACACTCTTTTTGCGGAATTTGCAAGTGGAGATTTCTAGCCATTTGATGCCAACAGTAGAAAGGGAAATATCTTCAAATAAAAACCAGACAGAATCATTCTCAGAAAATTCTTTGTGATGTGTGCGTTCAACTCACATAGTTTAACCTTTCTTTTCATAGAGCAGTTTGGAAACACTCTGTTTGTGATGTCTGCAAGTGGATATATAGACCGCATTGAGGCCTTCGTTGGAAACGGGATTTCTTCATTTCATGCTAGACAAGAATTCTCAGTAACTTCTTTGTGCTGTGTGTATTCAACTCACAGAGTGGAACGTCCCTTTGCACAGAGCAGATTTGAAACACTCTTTTTGTGGAGTTTGCAAGTGGAGATTTCAAGCGATTTGATGCCAACAGTAGAAAAGGAAATATCTTCAAATAAAAACTAGACAGAATCACTCTCAGAAACTACTTTGTGATGTGTGCCTTCAACTCACAGAGTTTAACCTTTCTTTTCTTAGAGCAGTTTAGAAACACTCTGCTTGTTATGTCTGCAAGTGGATATTTGGACCTCTTTGAGGCCTTCGTTGCAAACGGGGTTTCTTCCTTTCATGCTGGACTAAGAAGAGTTCTCAGTAACTTTTTTGTGTTGTGTGTATTCAACTCACAGAGTTGAACCTTGCTTTAGAGAGAGCAGATTTGAAACACTCTTGCTGTGGCATTTTCAGGTGGAGATTTCAAGCGATTTGAGGACAATTGCAGAAAAGGAAATATCTTCGTATAATAACCAGACAGAATCATTCTCAGAAAGTGCTTTGTGATGTGTGCGTTCAACTCACAGAGTTTAACCTTTCTTTTCATAGAGGAGTTTGGAAACACACTGTTTGTAAAGTCTGCAATTGGATATATGGACGTGTTTGAGGCCTTCGTTGGAAACGGGATTTCTTCATTGAATGCTAGACGGAAGAATTCTCAGTAAATTCTTTGTGTTGTGTGCATTCAACTCACAGAGTGGAACGTCCCTTTAGACAGAGCAGATTTGAAACACTCTTTTTGCGGAATTTGCAAGTGGAGATTTCTAGCCATTTGATGCCAACAGTAGAAAGGGAAATATCTTCAAATAAAAACCAGACAGAATCATTCTCAGAAAATTCTTTGTGATGTGTGCGTTCAACTCACATAGTTTAACCTTTCTTTTCATAGAGCAGTTTGGAAACACTCTGTTTGTAAAGTCTGCAAGTGGATATATGGACCGCATTGAGGCCTTCGTTGGAAACGGGATTTCTTCATTTCATACTAGACAGAAGAATTCTCAGTAACTTCTTTGTGCTGTGTGTATTCAACTCACAGAGTGGAACGTCCCTTTGCACAGAGCAGATTTGAAACACTCTTTTTGTGGAGTTTGCTAGTGGAGATTTCAAGCGATTTGATGCCAACAGTAGAAAAGGAAATATCTTCAAATAAAAACTAGACAGAATCATTCTCAGAAACTACTTTGTGATGTGTGCCTTTAACTCACAGAGTTTAACCTTTCTTTTCTTAGAGCAGTTTAGAAACACTCTGCTTGTTATGTCTGCAAGTGGATATTTGGACCTCTTTGAGGCCTTCGTTGCAAACGGGGTTTCTTCCTTTCATGCTAGACTAAGAAGAGTTCTCAGTAACTTTTTTGTGTTGTGTGTATTCAACTCACAGAGTTGAACCTTGCTTTAGAGAGAGCAGATTTGAAACACTCTTGCTGTGGCATTTTCAGGTGGAGATTTCAAGCGATTTGAGGACAATTGCAGAAAAGGAAATATCTTCGTATAATAACCAGACAGAATCATTCTCAGAAAGTGCTTTGTGATGTGTGCGTTCAACTCACAGAGTTTAACCTTTCTTTTCATAGAGGAGATTGGAAACACACTGTTTGTAAAGTCTGCAATTGGATATATGGACCTGTTTGAGGCCTTCGTTGGAAACGGGATTTCTTCATTGAATGCTAGACGGAAGAATTCTCATTAAATTCTTTGTGTTTTGTGCATTCAACTCACAGAGTGGAACGTCCGTTTAGACAGAGCAGATTTGAAACACTCTTTTTGCGGAATTTGCAAGTGGAGATTTCTAGCCATTTGATGCCAACAGTAGAAAGGGAAATATCTTCAAATAAAAACCAGACAGAATCATTCTCAGAAAATTCTTTGTGATGTGTGCGTTCAACTCACATAGTTTAACCTTTCTTTTCATAGAGCAGTTTGGAAACACTCTGTTTGTAAAGTCTGCAAGTGGATATATGGACCGCATTGAGGCCTTCGTTGGAAACGGGATTTCTTCATTTCATGCTAGACAGAAGAATTCTCAGTAACTTCTTTGTGCTGTGTGTATTCAACTCACAGAGTGGAACGTCCCTTTACACAGAGCAGATTTGAAACACTCTTTTTGTGGAGTTTGCAAGTGGAGATTTCAAGCGATTTGATGCCAACAGTAGAAAAGGAAATATCTTCAAATAAAAACTAGACAGAATCATTCTCAGAAACTACTTTGTGATGTGTGCCTTCAACTCACAGAGTTTAACCTTTCTTTTCTTAGAGCAGTTTAGAAACACTCTGCTTGTTATGTCTGCAAGTGGATATTTGGACCTCTTTGAGGCCTTCGTTGCAAACGGGGTTTCTTCCTTTCATGCTAGACTAAGAAGAGTTCTCAGTAACTTTTTTGTGTTGTGTGTATTCAACTCACAGAGTTGAACCTTGCTTTAGAGAGAGCAGATTTGAAACACTCTTGCTGTGACATTTTCAGGTGGAGATTTCAAGCGATTTGAGGACAATTGCAGAAAAGGAAATATCTTCGTATAATAACCAGACAGAATCATTCTCAGAAAGTGCTTTGTGATGTGTGCGTTCCACTCACAGAGTTTAACCTTTCTTTTCATAGAGGAGTTTGGAAACACACTGTTTGTAAAGTCTGCAAGTGGATATATGGACCTGTTTGAGGCCTTCGTTGGAAACGGGATTTCTTCATTGACTGCTAGACGGAAGAATTCTCAGTAAATTCTTTGTGTTGTGTGCATTCAACTCACAGAGTGGAACGTCCCTTTAGACAGAGCAGATTTGAAACACTCTTTTTGCGGAATTTGCAAGTGGAGATTTCTAGCCATTTGATGCCAACAGTAGAAAGGGAAATATCTTCAAATAAAAACCAGACAGAATCATTCTCAGAAAATTCTTTGTGATGTGTGCGTTCAACTCACATAGTTTAACCTTTCTTTTCATAGAGCAGTTTGGAAACACTCTGTAAAGTCTGCAAGTGGATATATGGACCGCATTGAGGCCTTCGTTGGAAACGGGATTTCTTCATTTCATGCTAGACAGAAGAATTCTCAGTAACTTCTTTGTGCTGTGTGTATTCAACTCACAGAGTGGAACGTCCCTTTACACAGAGCAGATTTGAAACACTCTTTTTGTGGAGTTTGCAAGTGGAGATTTCAAGCGATTTGATGCCAACAGTAGAAAAGGAAATATCTTCAAATAAAAACTAGACAGAATCATTCTCAGAAACTACTTTGTGATGTGTGCCTTCAACTCACAGAGTTTAACCTTTCTTTTCTTAGAGCAGTTTAGAAACACTCTGCTTGTTATGTCTGCAAGTGGATATTTGGACCTCTTTGAGGCCTTCGTTGCAAACGGGGTTTCTTCCTTTCATGCTAGACTAAGAAGAGTTCTCAGTAACTTTTTTGTGTTGTGTGTATTCAACTCACAGAGTTGAACCTTGCTTTAGAGAGAGCAGATTTGAAACACTCTTGCTGTGGCATTTTCAGGTGGAGATTTCAAGCGATTTGAGGACAATTGCAGAAAAGGAAATATCGTCGTATAATAACCAGACAGAATCATTCTCAGAAAGTGCTTTGTGATGTGTGCGTTCAACTCACAGAGTTTAACCTTTCTTTTCATAGAGGAGTTTGGAAACACACTGTTTGTAAAGTCTGCAATTGGATATATGGACATGTATGAGGCCTTCGTTGGAAACGGGATTTCTTCATTGAATGCTAGACGGAAGAATTCTCAGTAAATTCTTTGTGTTGTGTGCATTCAACTCACAGAGTGGAACGTCCCTTTAGACAGAGCAGATTTGAAACACTCTTTTTGCGGAATTTGCAAGTGGAGATTTCTAGCCATTTGATGCCAACAGTAGAAAGGGAAATATCTTCAAATAAAAACCAGACAGAATCATTCTCAGAAAATTCTTTGTGATGTGTGCGTTCAACTCACATAGTTTAACCTTTCTTTTCATAGAGCAGTTTGGAAACACTCTGTTTGTAAAGTCTGCAAGTGGATATATGGACCACATTGAGACCTTCGTTGGAAACGGGATTTCTTCATTTCATGCTAGACAGAAGAATTCTCAGTAACTTCTTTGTGCTGTGTGTATTCAACTCACAGAGTGGAACGTCCCTTTGCACAGAGCAGATTTGAAACACTCTTTTTGTGGAGTTTGCAAGTGGAGATTTCAAGCGATTTGATGCCAACAGTAGAAAAGGAAATATCTTCAAATAAAAACTAGACAGAATCATTCTCAGAAACTACTTTGTGATGTGTGCCTTCAACTCACAGAGTTTAACCTTTCTTTTCTTAGAGCAGTTTAGAAACACTCTGCTTGTTATGTCTGCAAGTGGATATTTGGACCTCTTTGAGGCCTTCGTTGCAAACGGGGTTTCTTCCTTTCATGCTAGACTAAGAAGAGTTCTCAGTAACTTTTTTGTGTTGTGTGTATTCAACTCACAGAGTTGAACCTTGCTTTAGAGAGAGCAGATTTGAAACACTCTTGCTGTGGCATTTTCAGGTGGAGATTTCAAGCGATTTGAGGACAATTGCAGAAAAGGAAATATCTTCGTATAATAACCAGACAGAATCATTCTCAGAAAGTGCTTTGTGATGTGTGCGTTCAACTCACAGAGTTCAACCTTTCTTTCCATAGAGGAGTTTGGAAACACACTGTTTGTAAAGTCTGCAATTGGATATATGGACCTGTTTGAGGCCTTCGTTGGAAACGGGATTTCTTCATTGAATGCTAGACGGAAGAATTCTCAGTAAATTCTTTGTGTTGTGTGCATTCAACTGACAGAGTGGAACGTCCCTTTAGACAGAGCAGATTTGAAACACTCTTTTTGCGGAATTTGCAAGTGGAGATTTCTAGCCATTTGATGCCAACAGTAGAAAGGGAAACATCTTCAAATAAAAACCAGACAGAATCATTCTCAGAAAATTCTTTGTGATGTGTGCGTTCAACTCACATAGTTTAACCTTTCTTTTCATAGAGCAGTTTGGAAACACTCTGTTTGTAAAGTCTGCAAGTGGATATATGGACCGCATTGAGGCCTTCGTTGGAAACGGGATTTCTTCATTTCATGCTAGACAGAAGAATTCTCAGTAACTTCTTTGTGCTGTGTGTATTCAACTCACAGAGTGGAACGTCCCTTTGCACAGAGCAGATTTGAAACACTCTTTTTGTGGAATTTGCAAGTGGAGATTTCAAGCGATTTGATGCCAACAGTAGAAAAGGAAATATCTTCAAATAAAAACTAGACAGAATCATTCTCAGAAACTACTTTGTGATGTGTGCCTTCAACTCACGGAGTTTAACCTTTCTTTTCTTAGAGCAGTTTAGAAACACTCTGTTTGTTATGTCTGCAAGTGGATATTTGGACCTCTTTGAGGCCTTCGTTGCAAACGGGGTTTCTTCCTTTAATGCTAGACTAAGAAGAGTTCTCAGTAACTTTTTTGTGTTGTGTGTATTCAACTCACAGAGTTGAACCTTGTTTTAGAGAGAGCAGATTTGAAACACTCTTGCTGTGGCATTTTCAGGTGGAGATTTCAAGCGATTTGAGGACAATTGCAGAAAAGGAAATATCTTCGTATAATAACCAGACAGAATCATTCTCAGAAAGTGCTTTGTGATGTGTGCGTTCAACTCACAGAGTTTAACCTTTCTTTTCATAGAGGAGTTTGGAAACACACTGTTTGTAAAGTCTGCAATTGGATATATGGACCTGTTTGAGGCCTTCGTTGGAAACGGGATTTCTTCATTGAATGCTAGACGGAAGAATTCTCAGTAAATTCTTTGTGTTGTGTGCATTCAACTCACAGAGTGGAACGTCCCTTTAGACAGAGCAGATTTGAAACACTCTTTTTGCGGAATTTGCAAGTGGAGATTTCTAGCCATTTGATGCCAACAGTAGAAAGGGAAATATCTTCAAATAAAAACCAGACAGAGATCATTCTCAGAAAATTCTTTGTGATGTGTGCGTTCAACTCACATAGTTTGACCTTTCTTTTCATAGAGCAGTTTGGAAACACTCTGTTTGTAAAGTCTGCAAGTGGATATATGGACCGCATTGAGGCCTTCGTTGGAAACGGGATTTCTTCATTTCATGCTAGACAGAAGAATTCTCAGTAACTTCTTTGTGCTGTGTGTATTCAACTCACAGAGTGGAACGTCCCTTTGCACAGAGCAGATTTGAAACACTCTTTTTGTGGAATTTGCAAGTGGAGATTTCAAGCGATTTGATGCCAACAGTAGAAAAGGAAATATCTTCAAATAAAAACTAGACAGAATCATTCTCAGAAACTACTTTGTGATGTGTGCCTTCAACTCACAGAGTTTAACCTTTCTTTTCTTAGAGCAGTTTAGAAACACTCTGCTTGTTATGTCTGCAAGTGGATATTTGGACCTCTTTGAGGCCTTCGTTGCAAACGGGGTTTCTTCCTTTAATGCTAGACTAAGAAGAGTTCTCAGTAACTTTTTTGTGTTGTGTGTATTCAACTCACAGAGTTGAACCTTGCTTTAGAGAGAGCAGATTTGAAACACTCTTGCTGTGGCATTTTCAGGTGGAGATTTCAAGCGATTTGAGGACAATTGCAGAAAAGGAAATATCTTCGTATAATAACCAGACAGAATCATTCTCAGAAAGTGCTTTGTGATGTGTGCGTTCAACTCACAGAGTTTAACCTTTCTTTTCATAGAGGAGTTTGGAAACACACTGTTTGTAAAGTCTGCAATTGGATATATGGACCTGTTTGAGGCCTTCGTTGGAAACGGGATTTCTTCATTGAATGCTAGACGGAAGAATTCTCAGTAAATTCTTTGTGTTGTGTGCATTCAACTCACAGAGTGGAACGTCCCTTTAGACAGAGCAGATTTGAAACACTCTTTTTGTGGAATTTGCAAGTGGAGATTTCTAGCCATTTGATGCCAACAGTAGAAAGGGAAATATCTTCAAATAAAAACCAGACAGAATCATTCTCAGAAAATTCTTTGTGATGTGTGCGTTCAACTCACATAGTTTAACCTTTCTTTTCATAGAGCAGTTTGGAAACACTCTGTTTGTAAAGTCTGCAAGTGGATATATGGACCGCATTGAGGCCTTCGTTGGAAACGGGATTTCTTCATTTCATGCTAGACAGAAGAATTCTCAGTAACTTCTTTGTGCTGTGTGTATTCAACTCACAGAGTGGAACGTCCCTTTGCACAGAGCAGATTTGAAACACTCTTTTTGTGGAATTTGCAAGTGGAGATTTCAAGCGATTTGATGCCAACAGTAGAAAAGGAAATATCTTCAAATAAAAACTAGACAGAATCATTCTCAGAAACTACTTTGTGATGTGTGCCTTCAACTCACAGAGTTTAACCTTTCTTTTCTTAGAGCAGTTTAGAAACACTCTGCTTGTTATGTCTGCAAGTGGATATTTGGACCTCTTTGAGGCCTTCGTTGCAAACGGGGTTTCTTCCTTTCATGCTAGACTAAGAAGAGTTCTCAGTAACTTTTTTGTGTTGTGTGTATTCAACTCACAGAGTTGAACCTTGCTTTAGAGAGAGCAGATTTGAAACACTCTTGCTGTGGCATTTTCAGGTGGAGATTTCAAGCGTTTTGAGGACAATTGCAGAAAAGGAAATATCTTCGTATAATAACCAGACAGAATCATTCTCAGAAAGTGCTTTGTGATGTGTGCGTTCCACTCACAGAGTTTAACCTTTCTTTTCATAGAGGAGTTTGGAAACACACTGTTTGTAAAGTCTGCAAGTGGATATATGGACCTGTTTGAGGCCTTCGTTGGAAACGGGATTTCTTCATTGAATGCTAGACGGAAGAATTCTCAGTAAATTCTTTGTGTTGTGTGCATTCAACTCACAGAGTGGAACGTCCCTTTAGACAGAGCAGATTTGAAACACTCTTTTTGCGGAATTTGCAAGTGGAGATTTCTAGCCATTTGATGCCAACAGTAGAAAGGGAAATATCTTCAAATAAAAACCAGACAGAATCATTCTCAGAAAATTCTTTGTGATGTGTGCGTTCAACTCACATAGTTTAACCTTTCTTTTCATAGAGCAGTTTGGAAACACTCTGTTTGTAAAGTCTGCAAGTGGATATATGGACCGCATTGAGGCCTTCGTTGGAAACGGGATTTCTTCATTTCATGCTAGACAGAAGAATTCTCAGTAACTTCTTTGTGCTGTGTGTATTCAACTCACAGAGTGGAACGTCCCTTTACACAGAGCAGATTTGAAACACTCTTTTTGTGGAGTTTGCAAGTGGAGATTTCAAGCGATTTGATGCCAACAGTAGAAAAGGAAATATCTTCAAATAAAAACTAGACAGAATCATTCTCAGAAACTACTTTGTGATGTGTGCCTTCAACTCACAGAGTTTAACCTTTCTTTTCTTAGAGCACTTTAGAAACACTCTGCTTGTTATGTCTGCAAGTGGATATTTGGACCTCTTTGAGGCCTTCGTTGCAAACGGGGTTTCTTCCTTTAATGCTAGACTAAGAAGAGTTCTCAGTAACTTTTTTGTGTTGTGTGTATTCAACTCACAGAGTTGAACCTTGCTTTAGAGAGAGCAGATTTGAAACACTCTTGCTGTGGCATTTTCAGGTGGAGATTTCAAGCGATTTGAGGACAATTGCAGAAAAGGAAATATCTTCGTATAATAACCAGACAGAATCATTCTCAGAAAGTGCTTTGTGATGTGTGCGTTCAACTCACAGAGTTTAACCTTTCTTTCCATAGAGGAGTTTGGAAACACACTGTTTGTAAAGTCTGCAAGTGGATATATGGACCTGTTTGAGGCCTTCGTTGGAAACGGGATTTCTTCATTGAATGCTAGACGGAAGAATTCTCAGTAAATTCTTTGTGTTGTGTGCATTCAACTGACAGAGTGGAACGTCCCTTTGGACAGAGCAGATTTGAAACACTCTTTTTGCGGAATTTGCAAGTGGAGATTTCTAGCCATTTGATGCCAACAGTAGAAAGGGAAACATCTTCAAATAAAAACCAGACAGAATCATTCTCAGAAAATTCTTTGTGATGTGTGCGTTCAACTCACATAGTTTAACCTTTCTTTTCATAGAGCAGTTTGGAAACACTCTGTTTGTAAAGTCTGCAAGTGGATATATGGACCGCATTGAGGCCTTCGTTGGAAACGGGATTTCTTCATTTCATGCTAGACAGAAGAATTCTCAGTAACTTCTTTGTGCTGTGTGTATTCAACTCACAGAGTGGAACGTCCCTTTGCACAGAGCAGATTTGAAACACTCTTTTTGTGGAATTTGCAAGTGGAGATTTCAAGCGATTTGATGCCAACAGTAGAAAAGGAAATATCTTCAAATAAAAACTAGACAGAATCATTCTCAGAAACTACTTTGTGATGTGTGCCTTCAACTCACAGAGTTTAACCTTTCTTTTCTTAGAGCAGGTTAGAAACACTCTGCTTGTTATGTCTGCAAGTGGATATTTGGACCTCTTTGAGGCCTTCGTTGCAAACGGGGTTTCTTCCTTTCATGCTAGACTAAGAAGAGTTCTCAGTAACTTTTTTGTGTTGTGTGTATTCAACTCACAGAGTTGAACCTTGCTTTAGAGAGAGCAGATTTGAAACACTCTTGCTGTGGCATTTTCAGGTGGAGATTTCAAGCGATTTGAGGACAATTGCAGAAAAGGAAATATCTTCGTATAATAACCAGACAGAATCATTCTCAGAAAGTGCTTTGTGATGTGTGCGTTCCACTCACAGAGTTTAACCTTTCTTTTCATAGAGGAGTTTGGAAACACACTGTTTGTAAAGTCTGCAAGTGGATATATGGACCTGTTTGAGGCCTTCGTTGGAAACGGGATTTCTTCATTGAATGCTAGACGGAAGAATTCTCAGTAAATTCTTTGTGTTGTGTGCATTCAACTGACAGAGTGGAACGTCCCTTTAGACAGAGCAGATTTGAAACACTCTTTTTGCGGAATTTGCAAGTGGAGATTTCTAGCCATTTGATGCCAACAGTAGAAAGGGAAATATCTTCAAATAAAAACCAGACAGAATCATTCTCAGAAAATTCTTTGTGATGTGTGCGTTCAACTCACATAGTTTAACCTTTCTTTTCATAGAGCAGTTTGGAAACACTCTGTTTGTAAAGTCTGCAAGTGGATCTATGGACCGCATTGAGGCCTTCGTTGGAAACGGGATTTCTTCATTTCATGCTAGACAGAAGAATTCTCAGTAACTTCTTTGTGCTGTGTGTATTCAACTCACAGAGTGGAACGTCCCTTTTCACAGAGCAGATTTGAAACACTCTTTTTGTGGAAATTGCAAGTGGAGATTTCAAGCGATTTGATGCCAACAGTAGAAAAGGAAATATCTGCAAATAAAAACTAGACAGAATCATTCTCAGAAACTACTTTGTGATGTGTGCCTTCAACTCACAGAGTTTAACCTTTCTTTTCTTAGAGCACTTTAGAAACACTCTGCTTGTTATGTCTGCAAGTGGATATTTGGACCTCTTTGAGGCCTTCGTTGCAAACGGGGTTTCTTCCTTTCATGCTAGACTAAGAAGAGTTCTCAGTAACTTTTTTGTGTTGTGTGTATTCAACTCACAGAGTTGAACCTTGCTTTAGAGAGAGCAGATTTGAAACACTCTTGCTGTGGCATTTTCAGGTGGAGATTTCAAGCGATTTGAGGACAATTGCAGAAAAGGAAATATCTTCGTATAATAACCAGACAGAATCATTCTCAGAAAGTGCTTTGTGATGTGTGCGTTCAACTCACAGAGTTTAACCTTTCTTTTCATAGAGGAGTTTGGAAACACACTGTTTGTGAAGTCTGCAATTGGATATAGGGACCTGTTTGAGGCCTTCTTTGGAAAAGGGATTTCTTCATTGAATGCTAGACGGAAGAATTCTCAGTAAATTCTTTGTGTTGTGTGCATTCAACTGACAGAGTGGAACGTCCCTTTAGACAGAGCAGATTTGAAACACTCTTTTTGCGGAATTTGCAAGTGGAGATTTCTAGCCATTTGATGCCAACAGTAGAAAGGGAAATATCTTCAAATAAAAACCAGACAGAATCATTCTCAGAAAATTCTTTGTGATGTGTGCGTTCAACTCACATAGTTTAACCTTTCTTTTCATAGAGCAGTTTGGAAACACTCTGTTTGTAAAGTCTGCAAGTGGATATATGGACCGCATTGAGGCCTTCGTTGGAAACGGGATTTCTTCATTTCATGCTAGACAGAAGAATTCTCAGTAACTTCTTTGTGCTGTGTGTATTCAACTCACAGAGTGGAACGTCCCTTTACACAGAGCAGATTTGAAACACTCTTTTTGTGGAGTTTGCAAGTGGAGATTTCAAGCGATTTGATGCCAACAGTAGAAAAGGAAATATCTTCAAATAAAAACTAGACAGAATCATTCTCAGAAACTACTTTGTGATGTGTGCCTTCAACTCACAGAGTTTAACCTTTCTTTTCTTAGAGCAGTTTAGAAACACTCTGCTTGTTATGTCTGCAAGTGGATATTTGGACCTACTTTGAGGCCTTCGTTGCAAACGGGGTTTCTTCCTTTCATGCTAGACTAAGAAGAGTTCTCAGTAACTTTTTTGTGTTGCGTGTATTCAACTCACAGAGTTGAACCTTGCTTTAGAGAGAGCAGATTTGAAACACTCTTGCTGTGGCATTTTCAGGTGGAGATTTCAAGCGATTTGAGGACAATTGCAGAAAAGGAAATATCTTCGTATAATAACCAGACAGAATCATTCTCAGAAAGTGCTTTGTGATGTGTGCGTTCAACTCACAGAGTTTAACCTTTCTTTTCATAGAGGAGTTTGGAAACACACTGTTTGTAAAGTCTGCAAGTGGATATATGGACCTGTTTGAGGCCTTCGTTGGAAACGGGATTTCTTCATTGAATGCTAGACGGAAGAATTCTCAGTAAATTCTTTGTGTTGTGTGCATTCAACTCACAGAGTGGAACGTCCCTTTAGACAGAGCAGATTTGAAACACTCTTTTTGCGGAATTTGCAAGTGGAGATTTCTAGCCATTTGATGCCAACAGTAGAAAGGGAAATATCTTCAAATAAAAACCAGACAGAATCATTCTCAGAAAATTCTTTGTGATGTGTGCGTTCAACTCACATAGTTTAACCTTTCTTTTCATAGAGCAGTTTGGAAACACTCTGTTTGTAAAGTCTGCAAGTGGATATATGGACCGCATTGAGGCCTTCGTTGGAAACGGGATTTCTTCATTTCATGCTAGACAGAAGAATTCTCAGTAACTTCTTTGTGCTGTGTGTATTCAACTCACAGAGTGGAACGTCCCTTTACACAGAGCAGATTTGAAACACTCTTTTTGTGGAGTTTGCAAGTGGAGATTTCAAGCGATTTGATGCCAACAGTAGAAAAGGAAATATCTTCAAATAAAAACTAGACAGAATCATTCTCAGAAACTACTTTGTGATGTGTGCCTTCAACTCACAGAGTTTAACCTTTCTTTTCTTAGAGCAGTTTAGAAACACTCTGCTTGTTATGTCTGCAAGTGGATATTTGGACCTCTTTGAGGCCTTCGTTGCAAACGGGGTTTCTTCCTTTCATGCTAGACTAAGAAGAGTTCTCAGTAACTTTTTTGTGTTGTGTGTATTCAACTCACAGAGTTGAACCTTGCTTTAGAGAGAGCAGATTTGAAACACTCTCGCTGTGGCATTTTCAGGTGGAGATTTCAAGCGATTTGAGGACAATTGCAGAAAAGGAAATATCTTCGTATAATAACCAGACAGAATCATTCTCAGAAAGTGCTTTGTGATGTGTGCGTTCAACTCACAGAGTTTAACCTTTCTTTTCATAGAGGAGTTTGGAAACACACTGTTTGTAAAGTCTGCAAGTGGATATATGGACCTGTTTGAGGCCTTCGTTGGAAACGGAATTTCTTCATTGAATGCTAGACGGAAGAATTCTCAGTAAATTCTTTGTGTTGTGTGCATTCAACTCACAGAGTGGAACGTCCCTTTAGACAGAGCAGATTTGAAACACTCTTTTTGCGGAATTTGCAAGTGGAGATTTCTACCCATTTGATGCCAACAGTAGAAAGGGAAATATCTTCAAATAAAAACCAGACAGAATCATTCTCAGAAAATTCTTTGTGATGTGTGCGTTCAACTCACATAGTTTAACCTTTCTTTTCATAGAGCAGTTTGGAAACACTCTGTTTGTAAAGTCTGCAAGTGGATATATGGACCGCATTGAGGCCTTCGTTGGAAACGGGATTTCTTCATTTCATGCTAGACAGAAGAATTCTCAGTAACTTCTTTGTGCTGTGTGTATTCAACTCACAGAGTGGAACGTCCCTTTGCACAGAGCAGATTTGAAACACTCTTTTTGTGGAATTTGCAAGTGGAGATTTCAAGCGATTTGATGCCAACAGTAGAAAAGGAAATATCTTCAAATAAAAACTAGACAGAATCATTCTCAGAAACTACTTTGTGATGTGTGCCTTCAACTCACAGAGTTTAACCTTTCTTTTCTTAGAGCAGTTTAGAAACACTCTGCTTGTTATGTCTGCAAGTGGATATTTGGACCTCTTTGAGGCCTTCGTTGCAAACGGGGTTTCTTCCTTTAATGCTAGACTAAGAAGAGTTCTCAGTAACTTTTTTGTGTTGTGTGTATTCAACTCACAGAGCTGAACCTTGCTTTAGAGAGAGCAGATTTGAAACACTCTTGCTGTGGCATTTTCAGGTGGAGATTTCAAGCGATTTGAGGACAATTGCAGAAAAGGAAATATCTTCGTATAACAACCAGACAGAATCATTCTCAGAAAGTGCTTTGTGATGTGTGCGTTCAACTCACAGAGTTTAACCTTTCTTTTCATAGAGGAGTTTGGAAACACACTGTTTGTAAAGTCTGCAATTGGATATATGGACCTGTTTGAGGCCTTCGTTGGAAACGGGATTTCTTCATTGAATGCTAGACGGAAGAATTCTCAGTAAATTCTTTGTGTGGTGTGCATTCAACTCACAGAGTGGAACGTCCCTTTAGACAGAGCAGATTTGAAACACTATTTTTGCGGAATTTGCAAGTGGAGATTTCTAGCCATTTGATGCCAACAGTAGAAAGGGAAATATCTTCAAATAAAAACCAGACAGAATCATTCTCAGAAAATTCTTTGTGATGTGTGCGTTCAACTCACATAGTTTAACCTTTCTTTTCATAGAGCAGTTTGGAAACACTCTGTTTGTAAAGTCTGCAAGTGGATATATGGACCGCATTGAGGCCTTCGTTGGAAACGGGATTTCTTCATTTCATGCTAGACAGAAGAATTCTCAGTAACTTCTTTGTGCTGTGTGTATTCAACTCACAGAGTGGAACGTCCCTTTGCACAGAGCAGATTTGAAACACTCTTTTTGTGGAGTTTGCAAGTGGAGATTTCAAGCGATTTGATGCCAACAGTAGAAAAGGAAATATCTTCAAATAAAAACTAGACAGAATCATTCTCAGTAAACTACTTTGTGATGTGTGCCTTCAACTCACAGAGTTTAACCTTTCTTTTCTTAGAGCAGTTTAGAAACACTCTGCTTGTTATGTCTGCAAGTGGATATTTGGACCTCTTTGAGGCCTTCGTTGCAAACGGGGTTTCTTCCTTTAATGCTAGACTAAGAAGAGTTCTCAGTAACTTTTTTGTGTTGTGTGTATTCAACTCACAGAGTTGAACCTTGCTTTAGAGAGAGCAGATTTGAAACACTCTTGCTGTGGCATTTTCAGGTGGAGATTTCAAGCGATTTGAGGACAATTGCAGAAAAGGAAATATCTTCGTATAATAACCAGACAGAATCATTCTCAGAAAGTGCTTTGTGATGTGTGCGTTCCACTCACAGAGTTTAACCTTTCTTTTCATAGAGGAGTTTGGAAACACACTGTTTGTAAAGTCTGCAAGTGGATATATGGACCTGTTTGAGGCCTTCGTTGGAAACGGGATTTCTTCATTGAATGCTAGACGGAAGAATTCTCAGTAAATTCTTTGTGTTGTGTGCATTCAACTCACAGAGTGGAACGTCCCTTTAGACAGAGCAGATTTGAAACACTCTTTTTGCGGAATTTGCAAGTGGAGATTTCTAGCCATTTGATGCCAACAGTAGAAAGGGAAATATCTTCAAATAAAAACCAGACAGAATCATTCTCAGAAAATTCTTTGTGATGTGTGCGTTCAACTCACATAGTTTAACCTTTCTTTTCATAGAGCAGTTTGGAAACACTCTGTTTGTAAAGTCTGCAAGTGGATATATGGACCGCATTGAGGCCTTCGTTGGAAACGGGATTTCTTCATTTCATGCTAGACAGAAGAATTCTCAGTAACTTCTTTGTGCTGTGTGTATTCAACTCACAGACTGGAACGTCCCTTTGCACAGAGCAGATTAGAAACACTCTTTTTGTGGAATTTGCAAGTGGAGATTTCAAGCGATTTGATGCCAACAGTAGAAAAGGAAATATCTTCAAATAAAAACTAGACAGAATCATTCTCAGAAACTACTTTGTGATGTGTGCCTTCAACTCACAGAGTTTAACCTTTCTTTTCTTAGAGCAGTTTAGAAACACTCTGCTTGTTATGTCTGCAAGTGGATATTTGGACCTCTTTGAGGCCTTCGTTGCAAACGGGGTTTCTTCCTTTAATGCTAGACTAAGAAGAGTTCTCAGTAACTTTTTTGTGTTGTGTGTATTCAACTCACAGAGTTGAACCTTGCTTTAGAGAGAGCAGATTTGAAACACTCTTGCTGTGGCATTTTCAGGTGGAGATTTCAAGCGATTTGAGGACAATTGCAGAAAAGGAAATATCTTCGTATAACAACCAGACAGAATCATTCTCAGAAAGTGCTTTGTGATGTGTGCGTTCAACTCACAGAGTTTAACCTTTCTTTTCATAGAGGAGTTTGGAAACACACTGTTTGTAAAGTCTGCAATTGGATATATGGACCTGTTTGAGGCCTTCGTTGGAAACGGGATTTCTTCATTGACTGCTAGACGGAAGAATTCTCAGTAAATTCTTTGTGTTGTGTGCATTCAACTCACAGAGTGGAACGTCCCTTTAGACAGAGCAGATTTGAAACACTCTTTTTGCGGAATTTGCAAGTGGAGATTTCTAGCCATTTGATGCCAACAGTAGAAAGGGAAATATCTTCAAATAAAAACCAGACAGAATCATTCTCAGAAAATTCTTTGTGATGTGTGCGTTCAACTCACATAGTTTAACCTTTCTTTTCATAGAGCAGTTTGGAAACACTCTGTTTGTAAAGTCTGCAAGTGGATATATGGACCGCATTGAGGCCTTCGTTGGAAACGGGATTTCTTCATTTCATGCTAGACAGAAGAATTCTCAGTAACTTCTTTGTGCTGTGTGTATTCAACTCACAGAGTGGAACGTCCCTTTGCACAGAGCAGATTTGAAACACTCTTTTTGTGGAATTTGCAAGTGGAGATTTCAAGCGATTTGATGCCAACAGTAGAAAAGGAAATATCTTCAAATAAAAACTAGACAGAATCATTCTCAGAAACTACTTTGTGATGTGTGCCTTCAACTCACAGAGTTTAACCTTTCTTTTCTTAGAGCAGTTTAGAAACACTCTGCTTGTTATGTCTGCAAGTGGATATTTGGACCTCTTTGAGGCCTTCGTTGCAAACGGGGTTTCTTCCTTTCATGCTAGACTAAGAACAGTTCTCAGTAACTTTTTTGTGTTGTGTGTATTCAACTCACAGAGTTGAACCTTGCTTTAGAGAGAGCAGATTTGAAACACTCTCGCTGTGGAATTTTCAGGTGGAGATTTCAAGCGATTTGAGGACAATTGCCGAAAAGGAAATATCTTCGTATAATAACCAGACAGAATCATTCTCAGAAAGTGCTTTGTGATGTGTGCGTTCAACTCACAGAGTTTAACCTTTCTTTTCATAGAGGAGTTTGGAAACACACTGTTTGTAAAGTCTGCAATTGGATATATGGACCTGTTTGAGGCCTTCGTTGGAAACGGGATTTCTTCACTGAATGCTAGACGGAAGAATTCTCAGTAAATTCTTTGTGTTGTGTGCATTCAACTCACAGAGTGGAACGTCCCTTTAGACAGAGCAGATTTGAAACACTCTTTTTGCGGAATTTGCAAGTGGAGATTTCTAGCCATTTGATGCCAACAGTAGAAAGGGAAATATCTTCAAATAAAAACCAGACAGAATCATTCTCAGAAAATTCTTTGTGATGTGTGCGTTCAACTCACATAGTTTAACCTTTCTTTTCATAGAGCAGTTTGGGAACACTCTGTTGGTAATGTCTGCAAGTGGATATATGGACCGCTTTGAGGCCTTCGTTGGAAACGGGATTTCTTCATTTCATGCTAGACAGAAGAATTCTCAGTAACTTCTTTGTGTTGTGTGTATTCAACTCACAGATTGGAACGTCCCTTTACACAGAGCAGATTTGAAACACTCTTTTTGTGGAATTTGCAAGTGGAGATTTCAAGCGATTTGATGCCAACAGTAGAAAAGGAAATATCTGCAAACAAAAACTAGACAGAATCATTATCAGAAAGTGCTTTGTGATGTGTGCATTCAACTCACAGAGTTAACCTTTCTTTTCATAAAGGAGTTTGGAAACACACTGTTTGTAAAGTCTGCAATTGGATATATGGACCTGTTTGAGGCCTTCGTTGGAAACGGGATTTCTTCATTGAATGCTAGACGGAAGAATTCTCAGTAAATTCTTTGTGTTGTGTGCATTCAACTCACAGAGTGGAACGTCCCTTTAGACAGAGCAGATTTGAAACACTCTTTTTGCGGAATTTGCAAGTGGAGATTTCTAGCCATTTGATGCCAACAGTAGAAAGGGAAATATCTTCAAATAAAAACCAGACAGAATCATTCTCAGAAAATTCTTTGTGATGTGTGCGTTCAACTCACATAGTTTAACCTTTCTTTTCATGGAGCAGTTTGGAAACACTCTGTTTGTAAAGTCTGCAAGTGGATATATGGACCGCATTGAGGCCTTCGTTGGAAACGGGATTTCTTCATTTCATACTAGACAGAAGAATTCTCAGTAACTTCTTTGTGCTGTGTGTATTCAACTCACAGAGTGGAACATCCCTTTGCACAGAGCAGATTTGAAACACTCTTTTTGTGGAGTTTGCAAGTGGAGATTTCAAGCGATTTGATGCCAACAGTAGAAAAGGAAATATCTTCAAATAAAAACTAGACAGAATCATTCTCAGAAACTACTTTGTGATGTGTGCCTTCAACTCACAGAGTTTAACCTTTCTTTTCTTAGAGCAGTTTAGAAACACTCTGCTTGTTATGTCTGCAAGTGGATATTTGGACCTCTTTGAGGCCTTCGTTGCAAACGGGGTTTCTTCCTTTCATGCTAGACTAAGAAGAGTTCTCAGTAACTTTTTCGTGTTGTGTGTATTCAACTCACAGAGTTGAACCTTGCTTTAGAGAGAGCAGATTTGAAACACTCTTGCTGTGGCATTTTCAGGTGGAGATTTCAAGCGATTTGAGGACAATTGCAGAAAAGGAAATATCTTCGTATAATAACCAGACAGAATCATTCTCAGAAAGTGCTTTGTGATGTGTGCGTTCAACTCACAGAGTTTAACCTTTCTTTTCATAGAGGAGTTTGGAAACACACTGTTTGTAAAGTCTGCAATTGGATATATGGACCTGTTTGAGGCCTTCGTTGGAAACGGGATTTCTTCATTGAATGCTAGACGGAAGAATTCTCAGTAAATTCTTTGTGTTGTGTGCATTCAACTCACAGAGTGGAACGTCCCTTTAGACAGAGCAGATTTGAAACACTCTTTTTGCGGAATTTGCAAGTGGAGATTTCTAGCCATTTGATGCCAACAGTAGAAAGGGAAATATCTTCAAATAAAAACCAGACAGAATCATTCTCAGAAAATTCTTTGTGATGTGTGCGTTCAACTCACATAGTTTAACCTTTCTTTTCATAGAGCAGTTTGGAAACACTCTGTTTGTAAAGTCTGCAAGTGGATATATAGACCGCATTGAGGCCTTCGTTGGAAACGGGATTTCTTCATTTCATGCTAGACAGAAGAATTCTCAGTAACTTCTTTGTGCTGTGTGTATTCAACTCACAGAGTGGAACGTCCCTTTACACAGAGCAGATTTGAAACACTCTTTTTGTGGAATTTGCAAGTGGAGATTTCAAGCGATTTGATGCCAACAGTAGAAAAAGAAATATCTTCAAATAAAAACTAGACAGAATCATTCTCAGAAACTACTTTGTGATGTGTGCCTTCAACTCACAGAGTTTAACCTTTCTTTTCTTAGAGCAGTTTAGAAACACTCTGCTTGTTATGTCTGCAAGTGGATATTTGGACCTCTTTGAGGCCTTCGTTGCAAACGGGGTTTCTTCCTTTCATGCTAGACTAAGAAGAGTTCTCAGTAACTTTTTTGTGTTGTGTGTATTCAACTCACAGAGTTGAACCTTGCTTTAGAGAGAGCAGATTTGAAACACTCTTGCTGTGGCATTTTCAGGTGGAGATTTCAAGCGATTTGAGGACAATTGCAGAAAAGGAAATATCTTCGTATAATAACCAGACAGAATCATTCTCAGAAAGTGCTTTGTGATGTGTGCGTTCCACTCACAGAGTTTAACCTTTCTTTTCATAGAGGAGTTTGGAAACACACTGTTTGTAAAGTCTGCAAGTGGATATATGGACCTGTTTGAGGCCTTCGTTGGAAACGGGATTTCTTCATTGAATGCTAGACGGAAGAATTCTCAGTAAATTCTTTGTGTTGTGTGCATTCAACTCACAGAGTGGAACGTCCCTTTAGACAGAGCAGATTTGAAACACTCTTTTTGCGGAATTTGCAAGTGGAGATTTCTAGCCGTTTGATGCCAACAGTAGAAAGGGAAATATCTTCAAATAAAAACCAGACAGAATCATTCTCAGAAAATTCTTTGTGATGTGTGCGTTCAACTCACATAGTTTAACCTTTCTTTTCATAGAGCAGTTTGGAAACACTCTGTTTGTAAAGTCTGCAAGTGGATATATGGACCGCATTGAGGCCTTCGTTGGAAACGGGATTTCTTCATTTCATGCTAGACAGAAGAATTCTCAGTAACTTCTTTGTGCTGTGTGTATTCAACTCACAGAGTGGAACGTCCCTTTGCACAGAGCAGATTTGAAACACTCTTTTTGTGGAATTTGCAAGTGGAGATTTCAAGCGATTTGATGCCAACAGTAGAAAAGGAAATATCTTCAAATAAAAACTAGACAGAATCATTCTCAGAAACTACTTTGTGATGTGTGCCTTCAACTCACAGAGTTTAACCTTTCTTTTCTTAGAGCAGTTTAGAAACACTCTGCTTGTTATGTCTGCAAGTGGATATTTGGACCTCTTTGAGGCCTTCGTTGCAAACGGGGTTTCTTCCTTTCATGCTAGACTAAGAAGAGTTCTCAGTAACTTTTTTGTGTTGTGTGTATTCAACTCACAGAGTTGAACCTTGCTTTAGAGAGAGCAGATTTGAAACACTCTTGCTGTGCCATTTTCAGGTGGAGATTTCAAGCGATTTGAGGACAATTGCAGAAAAGGAAATATCTTCCTATAATAACCAGACAGAATCATTCTCAGAAAGTGCTTTGTGATGTGTGCGTTCAACTCACAGAGTTTAACCTTTCTTTCCATAGAGGAGTTTGGAAACACACTGTTTGTAAAGTCTGCAATTGGATATATGGACCTGTTTGAGGCCTTCGTTGGAAACGGGATTTCTTCATTGAATGCTAGACGGAAGAATTCTCAGTAAATTCTTTGTGTTGTGTGCATTCAACTGACAGAGTGGAACGTCCCTTTGGACAGAGCAGATTTGAAACACTCTTTTTGCGGAATTTGCAAGTGGAGATTTCTAGCCATTTGATGCCAACAGTAGAAAGGGAAACATCTTCAAATAAAAACCAGACAGAATCATTCTCAGAAAATTCTTTGTGATGTGTGCGTTCAACTCACATAGTTTAACCTTTCTTTTCATAGAGCAGTTTGGAAACACTCTGTTTGTAAAGTCTGCAAGTGGATATATGGACCGCATTGAGGCCTTCGTTGGAAACGGGATTTCTTCATTTCATGCTAGACAGAAGAATTCTCAGTAACTTCTTTGTGCTGTGTGTATTCAACTCACAGAGTGGAACGTCCCTTTGCACAGAGCAGATTTGAAACACTCTTTTTGTGGAATTTGCAAGTGGAGATTTCAAGCGATTTGATGCCAACAGTAGAAAAGGAAATATCTTCAAATAAAAACTAGACAGAATCATTCTCAGAAACTACTTTGTGATGTGTGCCTTCAACTCACAGAGTTTAACCTTTCTTTTCTTAGAGCAGTTTAGAAACACTCTGCTTGTTATGTCTGCAAGTGGATATTTGGACCTCTTTGAGGCCTTCGTTGCAAACGGGGTTTCTTCCTTTCATGCTAGACTAAGAAGAGTTCTCAGTAACTTTTTTGTGTTGTGTGTATTCAACTCACAGAGTTGAACCTTGCTTTAGAGAGAGCAGATTTGAAACACTCTTGCTGTGGCATTTTCAGGTGGAGATTTCAAGCGATTTGAGGACAATTGCAGAAAAGGAAATATCTTCGTATAACAACCAGACAGAATCATTCTCAGAAAGTGCTTTGTGATGTGTTCGTTCAACTCACAGAGTTTAACCTTTCTTTTCATAGAGGAGTTTGGAAACACACTGTTTGTAAAGTCTGCAATTGGATATATGCACCTGTTTGAGGCCTTCGTTGGAAACGGGATTTCTTCATTGAATGCTAGACGGAAGAATTCTCAGTAAATTCTTTGTGTTGTGTGCATTCAACTCACAGAGTGGAACGTCCCTTTAGACAGAGCAGATTTGAAACACTCTTTTTGCGGAATTTGCAAGTGGAGATTTCTAGCCATTTGATGCCAACAGTAGAAAGGGAAACATCTTCAAATAAAAACCAGACAGAATCATTCTCAGAAAATTCTTTGTGATGTGTGCGTTCAACTCACATAGTTTAACCTTTCTTTTCATAGAGCAGTTTGGAAACACTCTGTTTGTAAAGTCTGCAAGTGGATATATGGACCGCATTGAGGCCTTCGTTGGAAACGGGATTTCTTCATTTCATGCTAGACAGAAGAATTCTCAGTAACTTCTTTGTGCTGTGTGTATTCAACTCACAGAGTGGAACGTCCCTTTGCACAGAGCAGATTTGAAACACTCTTTTTGTGGAATTTGCAAGTGGAGATTTCAAGCGATTTGATGCCAACAGTAGAAAAGGAAATATCTTCAAATAAAAACTAGACAGAATCATTCTCAGAAACTACTTTGTGATGTGTGCCTTCAACTCACAGAGTTTAACCTTTCTTTTCTTAGAGCAGTTTAGAAACACTCTGCTTGTTATGTCTGCAAGTGGATATTTGGACCTCTTTGAGGCCTTCGTTGCAAACGGGGTTTCTTCCTTTAATGCTAGACTAAGAAGAGTTCTCAGTAAATTTTTTGTGTTGTGTGTATTCAACTCACAGAGTTGAACCTTGCTTTAGAGAGAGCAGATTTGAAACACTCTTGCTGTGGCATTTTCAGGTGGAGATTTCAAGCGATTTGAGGACAATTGCAGAAAAGGAAATATCTTCGTATAACAACCAGACAGAATCATTCTCAGAAAGTGCTTTGTGATGTGTGCGTTCAACTCACAGAGTTTAACCTTTCTTTTCATAGAGGAGTTTGGAAACACACTGTTTGTAAAGTCTGCAATTGGATATATGGACCTGTTTGAGGCCTTCGTTGGAAACGGGATTTCTTCATTGAATGCTAGACGGAAGAATTCTCAGTAAATTCTTTGTGTTGTGTGCATTCAACTGACAGAGTGGAACGTCCCTTTAGACAGAGCAGATTTGAAACACTCTTTTTGCGGAATTTGCAAGTGGAGATTTCTAGCCATTTGATGCCAACAGTAGAAAGGGAAATATCTTCAAATAAAAACCAGACAGAATCATTCTCAGAAAATTCTTTGTGATGTGTGCGTTCAACTCACATAGTTAAACCTTTCTTTTCATAGAGCAGTTTGGAAACACTCTGTTTGTGAAGTCTGCAAGTGGATATATGGACCGCATTGAGGCCTTCGTTGGAAACGGGATTTCTTCATTTCATGCTAGACAGAAGAATTCTCAGTAACTTCTTTGTGCTGTGTGTACTCAACTCACAGAGTGGAACGTCCCTTTGCACAGAGCAGATTTGAAACACTCTTTTTGTGGAGTTTGCAAGTGGAGATTTCAAGCGATTTGATGCCAACAGTAGAAAAGGAAATATCTTCAAATAAAAACTAGACAGAATCATTCTCAGAAACTACTTTGTGATGTCTGCCTTCAACTCACAGAGTTTAACCTTTCTTTTCTTAGAGCAGTTGAGAAACACTCTGCTTGTTATGTCTGCAAGTGGATATTTGGACCTCTTTGAGGCCTTCGTTGCAAACGGGGTTTCTTCCTTTCATGCTAGACTAAGAAGAGTTCTCAGTAACTTTTTTGTGTTGTGTGTATTCAACTCACAGAGTTGAACCTTGCTTTAGAGAGAGCAGATTTGAAACACTCTTGCTGTGGCATTTTCAGGTGGAGATTTCAAGCGATTTGAGGACAATTGCAGAAAAGGAAATATCTTCGTATAATAACCAGACAGAATCATTCTCAGAAAGTGCTTTGTGATGTGTGCGTTCCACTCACAGAGTTTAACCTTTCTTTTCATAGAGGAGTTTGGAAACACACTGTTTGTAAACTCTGCAAGTGGATATATGGACCTGTTTGAGGCCTTCGTTGGAAACGGGATTTCTTCATTGAATGCTAGACGGAAGAATTCTCAGTAAATTCTTTGTGTTGTGTGCATTCAACTCACAGAGTGGAACGTCCCTTTAGACAGAGCAGATTTGAAACACTCTTTTTGCGGAATTTGCAAGTGGAGATTTCTAGCCATTTGATGCCAACAGTAGAAAGGGAAATATCTTCAAATAAAAACCAGACAGAATCATTCTCAGAAAATTCTTTGTGATGTGTGCGTTCAACTCACATAGTTTAACCTTTCTTTTCATAGAGCAGTTTGGAAACACTCTGTTTGTAAAGTCTGCAAGTGGATCTATGGACCGCATTGAGGCCTTCGTTGGAAACGGGATTTCTTCATTTCATGCTAGACAGAAGAATTCTCAGTAACTTCTTTGTGCTGTGTGTATTCAACTCACAGAGTGGAACGTCCCTTTACACAGAGCAGATTTGAAACACTCTTTTTGTGGAGTTTGCAAGTGGAGATTTCAAGCGATTTGATGCCAACAGTAGAAAAGGAAATATCTTCAAATAAAAACTAGACAGAATCATTCTCAGAAACTACTTTGTGATGTGTGCCTTCAACTCACAGAGTTTAACCTTTCTTTTCTTAGAGCAGTTTAGAAACACTCTGCTTGTTATGTCTGCAAGTGGATATTTGGACCTCTTTGAGGCCTTCGTTGCAAACGGGGTTTCTTCCTTTCATGCTAGACTAAGAAGAGTTCTCAGTAACTTTTTTGTGTTGTGTGTATTCAACTCACAGAGTTGAACCTTGCTTTAGAGAGAGCAGATTTGAAACACTCTTGCTGTGGCATTTTCAGGTGGAGATTTCAAGCGATTTGAGGACAATTGCAGAAAAGGAAATATCTTCGTATAATAACCAGACAGAATCATTCTCAGAAAGTGCTTTGTGATGTGTGCGTTCCACTCACAGAGTTTAACCTTTCTTTTCATAGAGGAGTTTGGAAACACACTGTTTGTAAAGTCTGCAAGTGGATATATGGACCTGTTTGAGGCCTTCGTTGGAAACGGGATTTCTTCATTGAATGCTAGACGGAAGAATTCTCAGTAAATTCTTTGTGTTGTGTGCATTCAACTCACAGAGTGGAACGTCCCTTTAGACAGAGCAGATTTGAAACACTCTTTTTGCGGAATTTGCAAGTGGAGATTTCTAGCCATTTGATGCCAACAGTAGAAAGGGAAATATCTTCAAATAAAAACCAGACAGAATCATTCTCAGAAAATTCTTTGTGATGTGTGCGTTCAACTCACATAGTTTAACCTTTCTTTTCTTAGAGCAGTTTAGAAACACTCTGCTTGTTATGTCTGCAAGTGGATATTTGGACCTCTTTGAGGCCTTCGTTGCAAACGGGGTTTCTTCCTTTCATGCTAGACTAAGAAGAGTTCTCAGTAACTTTTTTGTGTTGTGTGTATTCAACTCACAGAGTTGAACCATGCTTTAGAGAGAGCAGATTTGAAACACTCTTGCTGTGGCATTTTCAGTTGGAGATTTCAAGCGATTTGAGGACAATTGCAGAAAAGGAAATATCTTCGTATAACAACCAGACAGAATCATTCTCAGAAAGTGCTTTGTGATGTGTGCGTTCAACTCACAGGAGTTTAACCTTTCTTTTCATAGAGGAGTTTGGAAACACACTGTTTGTAAAGTCTGCAAGTGGATATATGGACCTGTTTGAGGCCTTCGTTGGAAACGGGATTTCTTCATTGAATGCTAGACGGAAGAATTCTCAGTAAATTCTTTGTGTTGTGTGCATTCAACTCACAGAGTGGAACGTCCCTTTAGACAGAGCAGATTTGAAACACTCTTTTTGCGGAATTTGCAAGTGGAGATTTCTAGCCATTTGATGCCAACAGTAGAAAGGGAAATATCTTCAAATAAAAACCAGACAGAATCATTCTCAGAAAATTCTTTGTGATGTGTGCGTTCAACTCACATAGTTTAACCTTTCTTTTCATAGAGCAGTTTGGAAACACTCTGTTTGTAAAGTCTGCAAGTGGATATATGGACCGCATTGAGGCCTTCGTTGGAAACGGGATTTCTTCATTTCATGCTAGACAGAAGAATTCTCAGTAACTTCTTTGTGCTGTGTGTATTCAACTCACAGAGTGGAACGTCCCTTTGCACAGAGCAGATTTGAAACACTCTTTTTGTGGAGTTTGCAAGTGGAGATTTCAAGCGATTTGATGCCAACAGTAGAAAAGGAAATATCTTCAAATAAAAACTAGACAGAATCATTCTCAGAAACTACTTTGTGATGTGTGCCTTCAACTCACAGAGTTTAACCTTTCTTTTCTTAGAGCAGTTTAGAAACACTCTGCTTGTTATGTCTGCAAGTGGATATTTGGACCTCTTTGAGGCCTTCGTTGCAAACGGGGTTTCTTCCTTTCATGCTAGACTAAGAAGAGTTCTCAGTAACTTTTTTGTGTTGTGTGTATTCAACTCACAGTGTTGAACCTTGCTTTAGAGAGAGCAGATTTGAAACACTCTTGCTGTGGCATTTTCAGGTGGAGATTTCAAGCGATTTGAGGACAATTGCAGAAAAGGAAATATCTTCGTATAACAACCAGACAGAATCATTCTCAGAAAGTGCTTTGTGATGTGTGCGTTCAACTCACAGAGTTTAACCTTTCTTTTCATAGAGGAGTTTGGAAACACACTGTTTGTAAAGTCTGCAATTGGATATATGGACCTGTTTGAGGCCTTCGTTGGAAACGGGATTTCTTCATTGAATGCTAGACGGAAGAATTCTCAGTAAATTCTTTGTGTGGTGTGCATTCAACTCACAGAGTGGAACGTCCCTTTAGACAGAGCAGATTTGAAACACTCTTTTTGCGGAATTTGCAAGTGGAGATTTCTAGCCATTTGATGCCAACAGTAGAAAGGGAAATATCTTCAAATAAAAACCAGACAGAATCATTCTCAGAAAATTCTTTGTGATGTGTGCATTCAACTCACATAGTTTAACCTTTCTTTTCATAGAGCAGTTTGGAAACACTCTGTTTGTAAAGTCTGCAAGTGGATATATGGACCGCATTGAGGCCTTCGTTGGAAACGGGATTTCTTCATTTCATGCTAGACAGAAGAATTCTCAGTAACTTCTTTGTGCTGTGTGTATTCAACTCACAGAGTGGAACGTCCCTTTACACAGAGCAGATTTGAAACACTCTTTTTGTGGAGTTTGCAAGTGGAGATTTCAAGCGATTTGATGCCAACAGTAGAAAAGGAAATATCTTCAAATAAAAACTAGACAGAATCATTCTCAGAAACTACTTTGTGATGTGTGCCTTCAACTCACAGAGCTTAACCTTTCTTTTCTTAGAGCAGTTTAGAAACACTCTGCTTGTTATGTCTGCAAGTGGATATTTGGACCTCTTTGAGGCCTTCGTTGCAAACGGGGTTTCTTCCTTTCATGCTAGACTAAGAAGAGTTCTCAGTAACTTTTTTGTGTTGTGTGTATTCAACTCACAGAGTTGAACCTTGCTTTAGAGAGAGCAGATTTGAAACACTCTTGCTGTGGCATTTTCAGGTGGAGATTTCAAGCGATTTGAGGACAATTGCAGAAAAGGAAATATCTTCGTATAATAACCAGACAGAATCATTCTCAGAAAGTGCTTTGTGATGTGTGCGTTCCACTCACAGAGTTTAACCTTTCTTTTCATAGAGGAGTTTGGAAACACACTGTTTGTAAAGTCTGCAATTGGATATATGGACCTGTTTGAGGCCTTCGTTGGAAACGGGATTTCTTCATTGAATGCTAGACGGAAGAATTCTCAGTAAATTCTTTGTGTTGTGTGCATTCAACTCACAGAGTGGAACGTCCCTTTAGACAGAGCAGATTTGAAACACTCTTTTTGCGGAATTTGCAAGTGGAGATTTCTAGCCATTTGATGCCAACAGTAGAAAGGGAAATATCTTCAAATAAAAACCAGACAGAATCATTCTCAGAAAATTCTTTGTGATGTGTGCGTTCAACTCACATAGTTCAACCTTTCTTTTCATAGAGCAGTTTGGAAACACTCTGTTTGTAAAGTCTGCAAGTGGATATATGGACCGCATTGAGGCCTTCGTTGGAAACGGGATTTCTTCATTTCATGCTAGACAGAAGAATTCTCAGTAACTTCTTTGTGCTGTGTGTATTCAACTCACAGAGTGGAACGTCCCTTTGCACAGAGCAGATTTGAAACACTCTTTTTGTGGAGTTTGCAAGTGGAGATTTCAAGCGATTTGATGCCAACAGTAGAAAAGGAAATATCTTCAAATAAAAACTAGACAGAATCATTCTCAGAAACTACTTTGTGATGTGTGCCTTCAACTCACAGAGTTTAACCTTTCTTTTCTTAGAGCAGTTTAGAAACACTCTGCTTGTTATGTCTGCAAGTGGATATTTGGACCTCTTTGAGGCCTTCGTTGCAAACGGGGTTTCTTCCTTTCATGCTAGACTAAGAAGAGTTCTCAGTAACTTTTTTGTGTTGTGTGTATTCAACTCACAGAGTTGAACCTTGCTTTAGAGAGAGCAGATTTGAAACACTCTTGCTGTGGCATTTTCAGGTGGAGATTTCAAGCGATTTGAGGACAATTGCAGAAAAGGAAATATCTTCGTATAATAACCAGACAGAATCATTCTCAGAAAGTGCTTTGTGATGTGTGCGTTCCACTCACAGAGTTTAACCTTTCTTTTCATAGAGGAGTTTGGAAACACACTGTTTGTAAAGTCTGCAAGTGGATATATGGACCTGTTTGAGGCCTTCGTTGGAAACGGGATTTCTTCATTGAATGCTAGACGGAAGAATTCTCAGTAAATTCTTTGTGTTGTGTGCATTCAACTCACAGAGTGGAACGTCCCTTTAGACAGAGCAGATTTGAAACACTCTTTTTGCGGAATTTGCAAGTGGAGATTTCTAGCCATTTGATGCCAACAGTACAAAGGGAAATATCTTCAAATAAAAACCAGACAGAATCATTCTCAGAAAATTCTTTGTGATGTGTGCGTTCAACTCACATAGTTTAACCTTTCTTTTCATGGAGCAGTTTGGAAACACTCTGTTTGTAAAGTCTGCAAGTGGATATATGGACCGCATTGAGGCCTTCGTTGGAAACGGGATTTCTTCATTTCATACTAGACAGAAGAATTCTCAGTAACTTCTTTGTGCTGTGTGTATTCAACTCACAGAGTGGAACATCCCTTTGCACAGAGCAGATTTGAAACACTCTTTTTGTGGAGTTTGCAAGTGGAGATTTCAAGCGATTTGATGCCAACAGTAGAAAAGGAAATATCTTCAAATAAAAACTAGACAGAATCATTCTCAGAAACTACTTTGTGATGTGTGCCTTCAACTCACAGAGTTTAACCTTTCTTTTCTTAGAGCAGTTTAGAAACACTCTGCTTGTTATGTCTGCAAGTGGATATTTGGACCTCTTTGAGGCCTTCGTTGCAAACGGGGTTTCTTCCTTTCATGCTAGACTAAGAAGAGTTCTCAGTAACTTTTTTGTGTTGTGTGTATTCAACTCACAGAGTTGAACCTTGCTTTAGAGAGAGCAGATTTGAAACACTCTTGCTGTGGCATTTTCAGGTGGAGATTTCAAGCGATTTGAGGACAATTGCAGAAAAGGAAATATCTTCGTATAATAACCAGACAGAATCATTCTCAGAAAGTGCTTTGTGATGTGTGCGTTCCACTCACAGAGTTTAACCTTTCTTTTCATAGAGGAGTTTGGAAACACACTGTTTGTAAAGTCTGCAAGTGGATATATGGACCTGTTTGAGGCCTTCGTTGGAAAAGGGATTTCTTCATTGAATGCTAGACGGAAGAATTCTCAGTAAATTCTTTGTGTTGTGTGCATTCAACTCACAGAGTGGAACGTCCCTTTAGACAGAGCAGATTTGAAACACTCTTTTTGCGGAATTTGCAAGTGGAGATTTCTAGCCATTTGATGCCAACAGTAGAAAGGGAAATATCTTCAAATAAAAACCAGACAGAATCATTCTCAGAAAATTCTTTGTGATGTGTGCGTTCAACTCACATAGTTTAACCTTTCTTTTCATAGAGCAGTTTGGAAACACTCTGTTTGTAAAGTCTGCAAGTGGATATATGGACCGCATTGAGGCCTTCGTTGGAAACGGGATTTCTTCATTTCATGCTAGACAGAAGAATTCTCAGTAACTTCTTTGTGCTGTGTGTATTCAACTCACAGAGTGGAACGTCCCTTTGCACAGAGCAGATTTGAAACACTCTTTTTGTGGAGTTTGCAAGTGGAGATTTCAAGCGATTTGATGCCAACAGTAGAAAAGGAAATATCTTCAAATAAAAACTAGACAGAATCATTCTCAGAAACTACTTTGTGATGTGTGCCTTCAACTCACAGAGTTTAACCTTTCTTTTCTTAGAGCAGTTTAGAAACACTCTGCTTGTTATGTCTGCAAGTGGATATTTGGACCTCTTTGAGGCCTTCGTTGCAAACGGGGTTTCTTCCTTTCATGCTAGACTAAGAAGAGTTCTCAGTAACTTTTTTGTGTTGTGTGTATTCAACTCACAGAGTTGAACCTTGCTTTAGAGAGAGCAGATTTGAAACACTCTTGCTGTGGCATTTTCAGGTGGAGATTTCAAGCGATTTGAGGACAATTGCAGAAAAGGAAATTTCTTCGTATAATAACCAGACAGAATCATTCTCAGAAAGTGCTTTGTGATGTGTGCGTTCAACTCACAGAGTTTAACCTTTCTTTTCATAGAGGAGCTTGGAAACACACTGTTTGTAAAGTCTGCAATTGGATATATGGACCTGTTTGAGGCCTCCGTTGGAAACGGGATTTCTTCATTGAATGCTAGACGGAAGAATTCTCAGTAAATTCTTTGTGTTGTGTGCATTCAACTCACAGAGTGGAACGTCCCTTTAGACAGAGCAGATTTGAAACACTCTTTTTGCGGAATTTGCAAGTGGAGATTTCTAGCCATTTGATGCCAACAGTAGAAAGGGAAATATCTTCAAATAAAAACCAGACAGAATCATTCTCAGAAAATTCTTTGTGATGTGTGCGTTCAACTCACATAGTTTAACCTTTCTTTTCATAGAGCAGTTTGGAAACACTCTGTTTGTAAAGTCTGCAAGTGGATATATGGACCGCATTGAGGCCTTCGTTGGAAACGGGATTTCTTCATTTCATGCTAGACAGAAGAATTCTCAGTAACTTCTTTGTGCTGTGTGTATTCAACTCACAGAGTGGAACGTCCCTTTACACAGAGCAGATTTGAAACACTCTGTTTGTGGAGTTTGCAAGTGGAGATTTCAAGCGATTTGATGCCAACAGTAGAAAAGGAAATATCTTCAAATAAAAACTAGACAGAATCATTCTCAGAAACTACTTTGTGATGTGTGCCTTCAACTCACAGAGTTTAACCTTTCTTTTCTTAGAGCAGTTTAGAAACACTCTGCTTGTTATGTCTGCAAGTGGATATTTGGACCTCTTTGAGGCCTTCATTGCAAACGGGGTTTCTTCCGTTCATGCTAGACTAAGAAGAGTTCTCAGTAACTTTTTTGTGTTGTGTGTATTCAACTCACAGAGTTGAACCTTGCTTTAGAGAGAGCAGATTTGAAACACTCTTGCTGTGGCATTTTCAGGTGGAGATTTCAAGCGATTTGAGGACAATTGCAGAAAAGGAAATATCTTCGTATAATAACCAGACAGAATCATTCTCAGAAAGTGCTTTGTGATGTGTGCGTTCAACTCACAGAGTTTAACCTTTCTTTTCATAGAGGAGTTTGGAAACACACTGTTTGTAAAGTCTGCAATTGGATATATGGACCTGTTTGAGGCCTTCGTTGGAAACGGGATTTCTTCATTGAATGCTAGACGGAAGAATTCTCAGTAAATTCTTTGTGTTGTGTGCATTCAACTGACAGAGTGGAACGTCCCTTTGGACAGAGCAGATTTGAAACACTCTTTTTGCGGAATTTGCAAGTGGAGATTTCTAGCCATTTGATGCCAACAGTAGAAAGGGAAACATCTTCAAATAAAAACCAGACAGAATCATTCTCAGAAAATTCTTTGTGATGTGTGCGTTCAACTCACATAGTTTAACCTTTCTTTTCATAGAGCAGTTTGGAAACACTCTGTTTGTGATGTCTGCAAGTGGATATATTGACCGCATTGAGGCCTTCGTTGGAAACGGGATTTCTTCATTTCATGCTAGACAGAGAATACTCAGTAACTTCTTTGTGCTGTGTGTATTCAACTCACAGAGTGGAACGTCCCTTTACACAGAGCAGATTTGAAACACTCTTTTTGTGGAGTTTGCAAGTGGAGATTTCAAGCGATTTGATGCCAACAGTAGAAAAGGAAATATCTTCAAATAAAAACTAGACAGAATCATTCTCAGAAACTACTTTGTGATGTGTGCCTTCAACTCACAGAGTTTAACCTTTCTTTTCTTAGAGCAGTTTAGAAACACTCTGCTTGTTATGTCTGCAAGTGGATATTTGGACCTCTTTGAGGCCTTCGTTGCAAACGGGGTTTCTTCCTTTCATGCTAGACTAAGAAGAGTTCTCAGTAACTTTTTTGTGTTGTGTGTATTCAACTCACAGAGTTGAACCTTGCTTTAGAGAGAGCAGATTTGAAACACTCTTGCTGTGGCATTTTCAGGTGGAGATTTCAAGCGATTTGAGGACAATTGCAGAAAAGGAAATATCTTCGTATAACAACCAGACAGAATCATTCTCAGAAAGTGCTTTGTGATGTGTGCGTTCAACTCACAGAGTTTAAACCTTTCTTTTCATAGAGGAGTTTGGAAACACACTGTTTGTAAAGTCTGCAATTGGATATATGGAGCTGTTTGAGGCCTTCGTTGGAAACGGGATTTCTTCATTGAATGCTAGACGGAAGAATTCTCAGTAAATTCTTTGTGTTGTGTGCATTCAACTGACAGAGTGGAACGTCCCTTAAGACAGAGCAGATTTGAAACACTCTTTTTGCGGAATTTGCAAGTGGAGATTTCTAGCCATTTGATGCCAACAGTAGAAAGGGAAATATCTTCAAATAAAAACCAGACAGAATCATTCTCAGAAAATTCTTTGTGATGTGTGCGTTCAACTCACATAGTTTAACCTTTCTTTTCATAGAGCAGTTTGGGAACACTCTGTTGGTAATGTCTGCAAGTGGATATATGGACCGCTTTGAGGCCTTCGTTGGAAACGGGATTTCTTCATTTCATGCTAGACAGAAGAATTCTCAGTAACTTCTTTGTGCTGTGTGTATTCAACTCACAGAGTGGAACGTCCCTTTACACAGAGCAGATTTGAAACACTCTTTTTGTGGAGTTTGCAAGTGGAGATTTCAAGCGATTTGATGCCAACAGTAGAAAAGGAAATATCTGCAAACAAAAACTAGACAGAATCATTCTCAGAAAGTGCTTTGTGATGTGTGCATTCAACTCACAGAGTTAACCTTTCTTTTCATAAAGGAGTTTGGAAACACACTGTTTGTAAAGTCTGCAATTGGATATATGGACCTGTTTGAGGCCTTCGTTGGAAACGGGATTTCTTCATTGAATGCTAGACGGAAGAATTCTCAGTAAATTCTTTGTGTTGTGTGCATTCAACTCACAGAGTGGAACGTCCCTTTAGACAGAGCAGATTTGAAACACTCTTTTTGCGGAATTTGCAAGTGGAGATTTCTAGCCATTTGATGCCAACAGTAGAAAGGGAAATATCTTCAAATAAAAACAAGACAGAATCATTCTCATAAAATTCTTTGTGATGTGTGCGTTCAAATCACATAGTTTAACCTTTCTTTTCATAGAGCAGTTTGGAAACACTCTGTTTGCAAAGTCTGCAAGTGGATATATGGACCGCATTGAGGCCTTCGTTGGAAACGGGATTTCTTCATTTCATGCTAGACAGAAGAATTCTCAGTAACTTCTTTGTGCTGTGTGTATTCAACTCACAGAGTGGAACGTCCCTTTACACAGAGCAGATTTGAAACACTCTTTTTGTGGAATTTGCAAGTGGAGATTTCAAGCGATTTGATGCCAACAGTAGAAAAGGAAATATCTTCAAATAAAAACTAGACAGAATCATTCTCAGAAACTACTTTGTGATGTGTGCCTTCAACTCACAGAGTTTAACCTTTCTTTTCTTAGAGCAGTTTAGAAACACTCTGCTTGTTATGTCTGCAAGTGGATATTTGGACCTCTTTGAGGCCTTCGTTGCAAACGGGGTTTCTTCCTTTCATGCTAGACTAAGAAGAGTTCTCAGTAACTTTTCTGTGTTGTGTATATTCAACTCACAGAGTTGAACCTTGCTTTAGAGAGAGCAGATTTGAAACACTCTTGCTGTGGCATTTTCAGGTGGAGATTTCAAGCGTTTTGAGGACAATTGCAGAAAAGGAAATATCTTCGTATAATAACCAGACAGAATCATTCTCAGAAAGTGCTTTGTGATGTGTGCGTTCCACTCACAGAGTTTAACCTTTCTTTTCATAGAGGAGTTTGGAAACACACTGTTTGTAAACTCTGCAAGTGGATATATGGACCTGTTTGAGGCCTTCGTTGGAAACGGGATTTCTTCATTGAATGCTAGACGGAAGAATTCTCAGTAAATTCTTTGTGTTGTGTGCATTCAACTCACAGAGTGGAACGTCCCTTTAGACAGAGCAGATTTGAAACACTCTTTTTGCGGAATTTGCAAGTGGAGATTTCTAGCCATTTGATGCCAACAGTAGAAAGGGAAATATCTTCAAATAAAAACCAGACAGAATCATTCTCAGAAAATTCTTTGTGATGTGTGCGTTCAACTCACATAGTTTAACCTTTCTTTTCATAGAGCAGTTTGGAAACACTCTGTTTGTAAAGTCTGAAAGTGGATATATGGACCGCATTGAGGCCTTCGTTGGAAACGGGATTTCTTCATTTCATGCTAGACAGAAGAATTCTCAGTAACTTCTTTGTGCTGTGTGTATTCAACTCACAGAGTGGAACGTCCCTTTACACAGAGCAGATTTGAAACACTCTTTTTGTGGAGTTTGCAAGTGGAGATTTCAAGCGATTTGATGCCAACAGTAGAAAAGGAAATATCTTCAAATAAAAACTAGACAGAATCATTCTCAGAAACTACTTTGTGATGTGTGCCTTCAACTCACAGAGTTTAACCTTTCTTTTCTTAGAGCAGTTTAGAAACACTCTGCTTGTTATGTCTGCAAGTGGATATTTGGACCTCTTTGAGGCCTTCGTTGCAAACGGGGTTTCTTCCTTTCATGCTAGACTAAGAAGAGTTCTCAGTAACTTTTTTGTGTTGTGTGTATTCAACTCACAGAGTTGAACCTTGCTTTAGAGAGAGCAGATTTGAAACACTCTTGCTGTGGCATTTTCAGGTGGAGATTTCAAGCGATTTGAGGACAATTGCAGAAAAGGAAATATCTTCGTATAATAACCAGACAGAATCATTCTCAGAAAGTGCTTTGTGATGTGTGCGTTCAACTCACAGAGTTTAACCTTTCTTTTCATAGAGGAGATTGGAAACACACTGTTTGTAAAGTCTGCAAGTGGATATATGGACCTGTTTGAGGCCTTCGTTGGAAACGGGATTTCTTCATTGAATGCTAGACGGAAGAATTCTCAGTAAATTCTTTGTGTTGTGTGCATTCAACTCACAGAGTGGAACGTCCCTTTAGACAGAGCAGATTTGAAACACTCTTTTTGCGGAATTTGCAAGTGGAGATTTCTAGCCATTTGATGCCAACAGTAGAAAGGGAAATATCTTCAAATAAAAACCAGACAGAATCATTCTCAGAAAATTCTTTGTGATGTGTGCGTTCAACTCACATAGTTTAACCTTTCTTTTCATAGAGCAGTTTGGAAACACTCTGTTTGTAAAGTCTGCAAGTGGATATATGGACCGCATTGAGGCCTTCGTTGGAAACGGGATTTCTTCATTTCATGCTAGACAGAAGAATTCTCAGTAACTTCTTTGTGCTGTGTGTATTCAACTCACAGAGTGGAACGTCCCTTTGCACAGAGCAGATTTGAAACACTCTTTTTGTGGAGTTTGCAAGTGGAGATTTCAAGCGATTTGATGCCAACAGTAGAAAAGGAAATATCTTCAAATAAAAACTAGACAGAATCATTCTCAGAAACTACTTTGTGATGTGTGCCTTCAACTCACAGAGTTTAACCTTTCTTTTCTTAGAGCAGTTTAGAAACACTCTGCTTGTTATGTCTGCAAGTGGATATTTGGACCTCTTTGAGGCCTTCGTTGCAAACGGGGTTTCTTCCTTTCATGCTAGACTAAGAAGAGTTCTCAGTAACTTTTTTGTGTTGTGTGTATTCAACTCACAGAGTTGAACCTTGCTTTAGAGAGAGCAGATTTGAAACACTCTTGCTGTGGCATTTTCAGGTGGAGATTTCAAGCGTTTTGAGGACAATTGCAGAAAAGGAAATATCTTCGTATAATAACCAGACAGAATCATTCTCAGAAAGTGCTTTGTGATGTGTGCGTTCCACTCACAGAGTTTAACCTTTCTTTTCATAGAGGAGTTTGGAAACACACTGTTTGTAAAGTCTGCAAGTGGATATATGGACCTGTTTGAGGCCTTCGTTGGAAACGGGATTTCTTCATTGAATGCTAGACGGAAGAATTCTCAGTAAATTCTTTGTGTTGTGTGCATTCAACTCACAGAGTGGAACGTCCCTTTAGACAGAGCAGATTTGAAACACTCTTTTTGCGGAATTTGCAAGTGGAGATTTCTAGCCATTTGATGCCAACAGTAGAAAGGGAAATATCTTCAAATAAAAACCAGACAGAATCATTCTCAGAAAATTCTTTGTGATGTGTGCATTCAACTCACATAGTTTAACCTTTCTTTTCATAGAGCAGTTTGGAAACACTCTGTTTGTAAAGTCTGCAAGTGGATATATGGACCGCATTGAGGCCTTCGTTGGAAACGGGATTTCTTCATTTCATGCTAGACAGAAGAATTCTCAGTAACTTCTTTGTGCTGTGTGTATTCAACTCACAGAGTGGAACGTCCCTTTGCACAGAGCAGATTTGAAACACTCTTTTTGTGGAGTTTGCAAGTGGAGATTTCAAGCGATTTGATGCCAACAGTAGAAAAGGAAGTATCTTCAAATAAAAACTAGCACAGAAATCATTCTCAGAAACTACTTTGTGATGTGTGCCTTCAACTCACAGAGTTTAACCTTTCTTTTCTTAGAGCACTTTAGAAACACTCTGCTTGTTATGTCTGCAAGTGGATATTTGGACCTCTTTGAGGCCTTCGTTGCAAACGGGGTTTCTTCCTTTCATGCTAGACTAAGAAGAGTTCTCAGTAACTTTTTTGTGTTGTGTGTATTCAACTCACAGAGTTGAACCTTGCTTTAGAGAGAGCAGATTTGAAACACTCTTGCTGTGGCATTTTCAGGTGGAGATTTCAAGCGATTTGAGGACAATTGCAGAAAAGGAAATATCTTCGTATAATAACCAGACAGAATCATTCTCAGAAAGTGCTTTGTGATGTGTGCGTTCAACTCACAGAGTTTAACCTTTCTTTTCATAGAGGAGTTTGGAAACACACTGTTTGTAAAGTCTGCAATTGGATATATGGACCTGTTTGAGGCCTCCGTTGGAAACGGGATTTCTTCATTGAATGCTAGACGGAAGAATTCTCAGTAAATTCTTTGTGTTGTGTGCATTGAACTCACAGAGTGGAACGTCCCTTTAGACAGAGCAGATTTGAAACACTCTTTTTGCGGAATTTGCAAGTGGAGATTTCTAGCCATTTGATGCCAACAGTAGAAAGGGAAATATCTTCAAATAAAAACCAGACAGAATCATTCTCAGAAAATTCTTTGTGATGTGTGCCTTCATCTCACAGAGTTTAACCTTTCTTTTCTTAGAGCAGTTTAGAAACACTCTGCTTCTTATGTCTGCAAGTGGATATTTGGACCTCTTTGAGGCCTTCGTTGCAAACGGGGTTTTTTCCTTTAATGCTAGACTAAGAAGAGTTCTCAGTAACTTTTTTGTGTTGTGTGTATTCAACTCACAGAGTTGAACCTTGCTTTAGAGAGAGCAGATTTGAAACACTCTTGCTGTGGCATTTTCAGGTGGAGATTTCAAGCGATTTGAGGACAATTGCAGAAAAGGAAATATCTTCGTATAATAACCAGACAGAATCATTCTCAGAAAGTGCTTTGTGATGTGTGCGTTCAACTCACAGAGTTTAACCTTTCTTTTGATAGAGGAGTTTGGAAACACACTGTTTGTAAAGTCTGCAATTGGATATAAGACCTGTTTGAGGCCTTCGTTGGAAACGGGATTTCTTCATTGAATGCTAGACGGAAGAATTCTCAGTAAATTCTTTGTGTTGTGTGCATTCAACTCACAGAGTGGAACGTCCCTTTAGACAGAGCAGATTTGAAACACTCTTTTTGCGGAATTTGCAAGTGGAGATTTCTAGCCATTTGATGCCAACAGTAGAAAGGGAAATATCTTCAAATAAAAACCAGACAGAATCATTCTCAGAAAATTCTTTGTGATGTGTGCGTTCAACTCACATAGTTTAACCTTTCTTTTCATAGAGCAGTTTGGAAACACTCTGTTTGTAAAGTCTGCAAGTGGATATATGGACCGCCTTGAGGCCTTCGTTGGAAACGGGATTTCTTCATTTCATGCTAGACAGAAGAATTCTCAGTAACTTCTTTGTGCTGTGTGTATTCAACTCACAGAGTGGAACGTCCCTTTGCACAGAGCAGATTTGAAACACTCTTTTTGTGGAGTTTGCAAGTGGAGATTTCAAGCGATTTGATGCCAACAGTAGAAAAGGAAGTATCTTTCAAATAAAAACTAGACAGAATCATTCTCAGAAACTACTTTGTGATGTGTGCCTTCAACTCACCGAGTTTAACCTTTCTTTTCTGAGAGCAGCTTAGAAACACTCTGCTTGTTATGTCTGCAAGTTGATATTTGGACCTCTTTGAGGCCTTCGTTGCAAACGGGGTTTCTTCCTTTAATGCTAGACTAAGAAGAGTTCTCAGTAACTTTTTTGTGTTGTGTGTATTCAACTCACAGAGTTGAACCTTGCTTTAGAGAGAGCAGATTTGAAACACTCTTGCTGTGGCATTTTCAGGTGGAGATTTCAAGCGATTTGAGGACAATTGCAGAAAAGGAAATATCTTCGTATAATAACCAGACAGAATCATTCTCAGAAAGTGCTTTGTGATGTGTGCGTTCAACTCACAGAGTTTAACCTTTCTTTTCATAGAGGAGTTTGGAAACACACTGTTTGTAAAGTCTGCAATTGGATATATGGACCTGTTTGAGGCCTTCGTTGGAAACGGGATTTCTTCATTGAATGCTAGACGGAAGAATTCTCAGTAAATTCTTTGTGTTGTGTGCATTCAACTGACAGAGTGGAACGTCCCTTTAGACAGAGCAGATTTGAAACACTCTTTTTGCGGAATTTGCAAGTGGAGATTTCCAGCCATTTGATGCCAACAGTAGAAAGGGAAATATCTTCAAATAAAAACCAGACAGAATCATTCTCAGAAAATTCTTTGTGATGTGTGCGTTCAACTCACATAGTTTAACCTTTCTTTTCATAGAGCAGTTTGGAAACACTCTGTTTGTAAAGTCTGCAAGTGGATATATGGACCGCATTGAGGCCTTCGTTGGAAACGGGATTTCTTCATTTCATGCTAGACAGAAGAATTCTCAGTAACTTCTTTGTGCTGTGTGTACTCAACTCACAGAGTGGAACGTCCCTTTGCACAGAGCAGATTTGAAACACTCTTTTTGTGGAGTTTGAAAGTGGAGATTTCAAGCGATTTGATGCCAACAGTAGAAAAGGAAATATCTTCAAATAAAAACTAGACAGAATCATTCTCAGAAACTACTTTGTGATGTGTGCCTTCAACTCACAGAGTTTAACCTTTCTTTTCTTAGAGCAGTTTAGAAACACTCTGCTTGTTATGTCTGCAAGTGGATATTTGGACCTCTTTGAGGCCTTCGTTGCAAACGGGGTTTCTTCCTTTCATGCTAGACTAAGAAGAGTTCTCAGTAACTTTTTTGTGTTGTGTGTATTCAACTCACAGAGTTGAACCTTGCTTTAGAGAGAGCAGATTTGAAACACTCTTGCTGTGGCATTTTCAGGTGGAGATTTCAAGCGATTTGAGGACAATTGCAGAAAAGGAAATATCTTCGTATAATAACCAGACAGAATCATTCTCAGAAAGTGCTTTGTGATGTGTGCGTTCCACTCACAGAGTTTAACCTTTCTTTTCATAGAGGAGTTTGGAAACACACTGTTTGTAAAGTCTGCAAGTGGATATATGGACCTGTTTGAGGCCTTCGTTGGAAACGGGATTTCTTCATTGAATGCTAGACGGAAGAATTCTCAGTAAATTCTTTGTGTTGTGTGCATTCAACTCACAGAGTGGAACGTCCCTTTAGACAGAGCAGATTTGAAACACTCTTTTTGCGGAATTTGCAAGTGGAGATTTCTAGCCGTTTGATGCCAACAGTAGAAAGGGAAATATCTTCAAATAAAAACCAGACAGAATCATTCTCAGAAAATTCTTTGTGATGTGTGCGTTCAACTCACATAGTTTAACCTTTCTTTTCATAGAGCAGTTTGGAAACACTCTGTTTGTAAAGTCTGCAAGTGGATCTATGGACCGCATTGAGGCCTTCGTTGGAAACGGGATTTCTTCATTTCATGCTAGACAGAAGAATTCTCAGTAACTTCTTTGTGCTGTGTGTATTCAACTCACAGAGTGGAACGTCCCTTTGCACAGAGCAGATTTGAAACACTCTTTTTGTGGAATTTGCAAGTGGAGATTTCAAGCGATTTGATGCCAACAGTAGAAAAGGAAATATCTTCAAATAAAAACTAGACAGAATCATTCTCAGAAACTACTTTGTGATGTGTGCCTTCAACTCACAGAGTTTAACCTTTCTTTTCTTAGAGCAGTTTAGAAACACTCTGCTTGTTATGTCTGCAAGTGGATATTTGGACCTCTTTGAGGCCTTCGTTGCAAACGGGGTTTCTTCCTTTCATGCTAGACTAAGAAGAGTTCTCAGTAACTTTTTTGTGTTGTGTGTATTCAACTCACAGAGTTGAACCTTGCTTTAGAGAGAGCAGATTTGAAACACTCTTGCTGTGGCATTTTCAGGTGGAGATTTCAAGCGATTTGAGGACAATTGCAGAAAAGGAAATATCTTCGTATAACAACCAGACAGAATCATTCTCAGAAAGTGCTTTGTGATGTGTGCGTTCCACTCACAGAGTTTAACCTTTCTTTTCATAGAGGAGTTTGGAAACACACTGTTTGTAAACTCTGCAAGTGGATATATGGACCTGTTTGAGGCCTTCGTTGGAAACGGGATTTCTTCATTGAATGCTAGACGGAAGAATTCTCAGTAAATTCTTTGTGTTGTGTGCATTCAACTCACAGAGTGGAACGTCCCTTTAGACAGAGCAGATTTGAAACACTCTTTTTGCGGAATTTGCAAGTGGAGATTTCTAGCCATTTGATGCCAACAGTAGAAAGGGAAATATCTTCAAATAAAAACCAGACAGAATCATTCTCAGAAAATTCTTTGTGATGTGTGCGTTCAACTCACATAGTTTAACCTTTCTTTTCATAGAGCAGTTTGGAAACACTCTGTTTGTAAAGTCTGCAAGTGGATATATGGACCGCATTGAGGCTTCGTTGGAAACGGGATTTCTTCATTTCATGCTAGACAGAAGGAATTCTCAGTAACTTCTTTGTGCTGTGTGTATTCAACTCACAGAGTGGAACGTCCCTTTGCACAGAGCAGATTTGAAACACTCTTTTTGTGGAATTTGCAAGTGGAGATTTCAAGCGATTTGATGCCAACAGTAGAAAAGGAAATATCTTCAAATAAAAACTAGACAGAATCATTCTCAGAAACTACTTTGTGATGTGTGCCTTCAACTCACAGAGTTTAACCTTTCTTTTCTTAGAGCAGTTTAGAAACACTCTGCTTGTTATGTCTGCAAGTGGATATTTGGACCTCTTTGAGGCCTTCGTTGCAAACGGGGTTTCTTCCTTTCATGCTAGACTAAGAAGAGTTCTCAGTAACTTTTTTGTGTTGTGTTTATTCAACTCACAGAGTTGAACCTTGCTTTAGAGAGAGCAGATTTGAAACACTCTCGCTGTGGAATTTTCAGGTGGAGATTTCAAGCGATTTGAGGACAATTGCAGAAAAGGAAATATCTTCGTATAATAACCAGACAGAATCATTCTCAGAAAGTGCTTTGTGATGTGTGCGTTCAACTCACAGAGTTTAACCTTTCTTTTCATAGAGGAGTTTGGAAACACACTGTTTGTAAAGTCTGCAATTGGATATATGGACCTGTTTGAGGCCTTCGTAGGAAATGGGATTTCTTCATTGAATGCTAGACGGAAGAATTCTCAGTAAATTCTTTGTGTTGTGTGCATTCAACTCACAGAGTGGAACGTCCCTTTAGACAGAGCAGATTTGAAACACTCTTTTTGCGGAATTTGCAAGTGGAGATTTCTAGCCATTTGATGCCAACAGTAGAAAGGGAAATATCTTCAAATAAAAACCAGACAGAATCATTCTCAGAAAATTCTTTGTGATGTGTGCGTTCAACTCACATAGTTTAACCTTTCTTTTCATAGAGCAGTTTGGAAACACTCTGTTTGTAAAGTCTGCAAGTGGATATATGGACCGCATTGAGGCCTTCGTTGGAAACGGGATTTCTTCATTTCATGCTAGACAGAAGAATTCTCAGTGACTTCTTTGTGCTGTGTGTATTCAACTCACAGAGTGGAACGTCCCTTCACACAGAGCAGATTTGAAACACTCTTTTTGTGGAGTTTGCAAGTGGAGATTTCAAGAGATTTGATGCCAAATGTAGAAAAGGAAATATCTTCAAATAAAAACTAGACAGAATCATTCTCAGAAACTACTTTGTGATGTGTGCCTTCAACTCACAGAGTTTAACCTTTCTTTTCTTAGAGCAGTTTAGAAACACTCTGCTTGTTATGTCTGCAAGTGGATATTTGGACCTCTTTGAGGCCTTCGTTGCAAACGGGGTTTCTTCCTTTCATGCTAGACTAAGAAGAGTTCTCAGTAACTTTTTTGTGTTGTGTGTATTCAACTCACAGAGTTGAACCTTGCTTTAGAGAGAGCAGATTTGAAACACTCTTGCTGTGGCATTTTCAGGTGGAGATTTCAAGCGATTTGAGGACAATTGCAGAAAAGGAAATATCTTCGTATAATAACCAGACAGAATCATTCTCAGAAAGTGCTTTGTGATGTGTGCGTTCCACTCACAGAGTTTAACCTTTCTTTTCATAGAGGAGTTTGGAAACACACTGTTTGTAAACTCTGCAAGTGGATATATGGACCTGTTTGAGGCCTTCGTTGGAAACGGGATTTCTTCATTGAATGCTAGACGGAAGAATTCTCAGTAAATTCTTTGTGTTGTGTGCATTCAACTCACAGAGTGGAACGTCCCTTTAGACAGAGCAGATTTGAAACACTCTTTTTGCGGAATTTGCAAGTGGAGATTTCTAGCCGTTTGATGCCAACAGTAGAAAGGGAAATATCTTCAAATAAAAACCAGACAGAATCATTCTCAGAAAATTCTTTGTGATGTGTGCGTTCAACTCACATAGTTTAACCTTTCTTTTCATAGAGCAGTTTGGAAACACTCTGTTTGTAAAGTCTGCAAGTGGATCTATGGACCGCATTGAGGCCTTCGTTGGAAACGGGATTTCTTCATTTCATGCTAGACAGAAGAATTCTCAGTAACTTCTTTGTGCTGTGTGTATTCAACTCACAGAGTGGAACGTCCCTTTACACAGAGCAGATTTGAAACACTCTTTTTGTGGAGTTTGCAAGTGGAGATTTCAAGCGATTTGATGCCAACAGTAGAAAATGAAATATCTTCAAATAAAAACTAGACAGAATCATTCTCAGAAACTACTTTGTGATGTGTGCCTTCAACTCACAGAGTTTAACCTTTCTTTTCTTAGAGCAGTTTAGAAACACTCTGCTTGTTATGTCTGCAAGTGGATATTTGGACCTCTTTGAGGCCTTCGTTGCAAAAGGGGTTTCTTCCTTTAATGCTAGACTAAGAAGAGTTCTCAGTAACTTTTTTGTGTTGTGTGTATTCAACTCACAGTAGTTGAACCTTGCTTTAGAGAGAGCAGATTTGAAACACTCTCGCTGTGGAATTTTCAGGTGGAGATTTCAAGCGATTTGAGGACAATTGCAGAAAAGGAAATATCTTCGTATAATAACCAGACAGAATCATTCTCAGAAAGTGCTTTGTGATGTGTGCGTTCAACTCACAGAGTTTAACCATTCTTTTCATAGAGGAGCTTGGAAACACACTGTTTGTAAAGTCTGCAATTGGATATATGGACCTGTTTGAGGCCTCCGTTGGAAACGGGATTTCTTCATTGAATGCTAGACGGAAGAATTCTCAGTAAATTATTTGTGTTGTGTGCATTGAACTCACAGAGTGGAACGTCCCTTTAGACAGAGCAGATTTGAAACACTCATTTTGCGGAATTTGCAAGTGGAGATTTCTAGCCATTTGATGTCAACAGTAGAAAGGGAAATATCTTCAAATAAAAACCAGACAGAATCATTCTCAGAAAATTCTTTGTGATGTGTGCGTTGAACTCACATAGTTTAACCTTTCTTTTCATAGAGCAGTTTGGAAACACTCTGTTTGTAAAGTCTGCAAGTGTATATATGGACCGCATTGAGGCCTTCGTTGGAAACGGGATTTCTTCATTTCATGCTAGACAGAAGAATTCTCAGTAACTTCTTTGTGCTGTGTGTATTCAACTCACAGAGTGGAACGTCACTTTACACAGAGCAGATTTGAAACACTCTTTTTGTGGAGTTTGCAAGTGGAGATTTCAAGCGATTTGATGCCAACAGTAGAAAAGGAAATATCTTCAAATAAAAACTAGACAGAATCATTCTCAGAAACTACTTTGTGATGTGTGCCTTCAACTCACAGCAGTTTAACCTTTCTTTTCTTAGAGCAGTTTAGAAACACTCTGCTTGTTATGTCTGCAAGTGGATATTTGGACCTCTTTGAGGCCTTCGTTGCAAACGGGGTTTCTTCCTTTCATGCTAGACTAAGAAGAGTTCTCAGTAACTTTTTTGTGTTGTGTGTATTCAACTCACAGAGTTGAACCTTGCTTTAGAGAGAGCAGATTTGAAACACTCTTGCTGTGGCATTTTCAGGTGGAGATTTCAAGCGATTTGAGGACAATTGCAGAAAAGGAAATATCTTCGTATAATAACCAGACAGAATCATTCTCAGAAAGTGCTTTGTGATGTGTGCGTTCCACTCACAGAGTTTAACCTTTCTTTTCATAGAGGAGTTTGGAAACACACTGTTTGTAAAGTCTGCAAGTGGATATATGGACCTCTTTGAGGCCTTCGTTGGAAACGGGATTTCTTCATTGAATGCTAGACGGAAGAATTCTCAGTAAATTCTTTGTGTTGTGTGCATTCAACTGACAGAGTGGAACTGTCCCTTTAGACAGAGCAGATTTGAAACACTCTTTTTGCGGAATTTGCAAGTGGAGATTTCTAGCCATTTGATGCCAACAGTAGAAAGGGAAATATCTTCAAATAAAAACCAGACAGAATCATTCTCAGAAAATTCTTTGTGATGTGTGCGTTCAACTCACATAGTTTAACCTTTCTTTTCATAGAGCAGTTTGGAAACACTCTGTTTGTAAAGTCTGCAAGTGGATATATGGACCGCATTGAGGCCTTCGTTGGAAACGGGATTTCTTCATTTCATGCTAGACAGAAGAATTCTCAGTAACTTCTTTGTGCTGTGTGTATTCAACTCACAGAGTGGAACGTCCCTTTACACAGAGCTGATTTGAAACACTCTTTTTGTGGAGTTTGCAAGTGGAGATTTCAAGCGATTTGATGCCAACAGTAGAAAAGGAAATATCTTCAAATAAAAACTAGACAGAATCATTCTCAGAAACTACTTTGTGATGTGTGCCTTCAACTCACAGAGTTTAACCTTTCTTTTCTTAGAGCAGTTTAGAAACACTCTGCTTGTTATGTCTGCAAGTGGATATTTGGACCTCTTTGAGGCCTTCGTTGCAAACGGGGTTTCTTCCTTTCATGCTAGACTAAGAAGAGTTCTCAGTAACTTTTTTGTGTTGTGTGTATTCAACTCACAGAGTTGAACCTTGCTTTAGAGAGAGCAGATTTGAAACACTCTTGCTGTGGCATTTTCAGGTGGAGATTTCAAGCGATTTGAGGACAATTGCAGAAAAGGAAATATCTTCGTATAATAACCAGACAGAATCATTCTCAGAAAGTGCTTTGTGATGTGTGCGTTCCACTCACAGAGTTTAACCTTTCTTTTCATAGAGGAGTTTGGAAACACACTGTTTGTAAAGTCTGCAAGTGGATATATGGACCTGTTTGAGGCCTTCGTTGGAAACGGGATTTCTTCATTGAATGCTAGACGGAAGAATTCTCAGTAAATTCTTTGTGTTGTGTGCATTCAACTGACAGAGTGGAACGTCCCTTTAGACAGAGCAGATTTGAAACACTCTTTTTGCGGAATTTGCAAGTGCAGATTTCTAGCCATTTGATGCCAACAGTAGAAAGGGAAATATCTTCAAATAAAAACCAGACAGAATCATTCTCAGAAAATTCTTTGTGATGTGTGCGTTCAACTCACATAGTTTAAGCTTTCTTTTCATAGAGCAGTTTGGAAACACTCTGTTTGTAAAGTCTGCAAGTGGATATATGGACCGCATTGAGGCCTTCGTTGGAAACGGGATTTCTTCATTTCATGCTAGACAGAAGAATTCTCAGTAACTTCTTTGTGCTGTGTGTATTCAACCCACAGAGTGGAACGTCCCTTTACACAGAGCAGATTTGAAACACTCTTTTTGTGGAGTTTGCAAGTGGAGATTTCAAGCGATTTGATGCCAACAGTAGAAAAGGAAATATCTTCAAATAAAAACTAGACAGAATCATTCTCAGAAACTACTTTGTGATGTGTGCCTTCAACTCACAGAGTTTAACCTTTCTTTTCTTAGAGCAGTTTAGAAACACTCTGCTTGTTATGTCTGCAAGTGGATATTTGGACCTCTTTGAGGCCTTCGTTGCAAACGGGGTTTCTTCCTTTAATGCTAGACTAAGAAGAGTTCTCAGTAACTTTTTTGTGTTGTGTGTATTCAACTCACAGAGTTGAACCTTGCTTTAGAGAGAGCAGATTTGAAACACTCTTGCTGTGGCATTTTCAGGTGGAGATTTCAAGCGATTTGAGGACAATTGCAGAAAAGGAAATATCTTCGTATAATAACCAGACAGAATCATTCTCAGAAAGTGCTTTGTGATGTGTGCGTTCAACTCACAGAGTTTAACCTTTCTTTTCATAGAGGAGTTTGGAAACACACTGTTTGTAAAGTCTGCAATTGGATATATGGACCTGTTTGAGGCCTCCGTTGGAAACGGGATTTCTTCATTGAATGCTAGACGGAAGAATTCTCAGTAAATTCTTTGTGTTGTGTGCATTCAACTCACAGAGTGGAACGTCCCTTTAGACAGAGCAGATTTGAAACACTCTTTTTGCGGAATTTGCAAGTGGAGATTTCTAGCCATTTGATGCCAACAGTAGAAAGGGAAATATCTTCAAATAAAAACCAGACAGAATCATTCTCAGAAAATTCTTTGTGATGTGTGCGTTCAACTCACATAGTTTAACCTTTCTTTTCATAGAGCAGTTTGGAAACACTCTGTTTGTAAAGTCTGCAAGTGGATATATGGACCGCATTGAGGCCTTCGTTGGAAACGGGATTTCTTCATTTCATGCTAGACAGAAGAATTCTCAGTAACTTCTTTGTGCTGTGTGTATTCAACTCACAGAGTGGAACGTCCCTTTGCACAGAGCAGATTTGAAACACTCTTTTTGTGGAGTTTGCAAGTGGAGATTTCAAGCGATTTGATGCCAACAGTAGAAAAGGAAATATCTTCAAATAAAAACTAGACAGAATCATTCTCAGAAACTACTTTGTGATGTGTGCCTTCAACTCACAGAGTTTAACCTTTCTTTTCTTAGAGCAGGTTAGAAACACTCTGCTTGTTATGTCTGCAAGTGGATATTTGGACCTCTTTGAGGCCTTCGTTGCAAACGGGGTTTCTTCCTTTCATGCTAGACTAAGAAGAGTTCTCAGTAACTTTTTTGTGTTGTGTGTATTCAACTCACAGAGTTGAACCTTGCTTTAGAGAGAGCAGATTTGAAACACTCTTGCTGTGGCATTTTCAGGTGGAGATTTCAAGCGATTTGAGGACAATTGCAGAAAAGGAAATATCTTCGTATAATAACCAGACAGAATCATTCTCAGAAAGTGCTTTGTGATGTGTGCGTTCCACTCACAGAGTTTAACCTTTCTTTTCATAGAGGAGTTTGGAAACACACTGTTTGTAAAGTCTGCAAGTGGATATATGGACCTCTTTGAGGCCTTCGTTGGAAACGGGATTTCTTCATTGAATGCTAGACGGAAGAATTCTCAGTAAATTCTTTGTGTTGTGTGCATTCAACTCACAGAGTGGAACGTCCCTTTAGACAGAGCAGATTTGAAACACTCTTTTTGCGGAATTTGCAAGTGGAGATTTCTAGCCATTTGATGGCCAACAGTAGAAAGGGAAATATCTTCAAATAAAAACCAGACAGAATCATTCTCAGAAAGTGCTTTGTGATGTGTGCGTTCAACTCACAGAGTTTAACCTTTCTTTTCATAGAGGAGTTTGGAAACACACTGTTTGTAAAGTCTGCAATTGGATATATGGACCTGTTTGAGGCCTTCATTGGAAACGGGATTTCTTCATTGAATGCTAGACGGAAGAATTCTCAGTAAATTCTTTGTGTTGTGTGCATTCAACTCACAGAGTGGAACGTCCCTTTAGACAGAGCAGATTTGAAACACTCTTTTTGCGGAATTTGCAAGTGGAGATTTCTAGCCATTTGATGCCAACAGTAGAAAGGGAAATATCTTCAAATAAAAACCAGACAGAATCATTCTCAGAAAATTCTTTGTGATGTGTGCGTTCAACTCACATAGTTTAACCTTTCTTTTCATAGAGCAGTTTGGAAACACTCTGTTTGTAAAGTCTGCAAGTGGATATATGGACCGCATTGAGGCCTTCGTTGGAAACGGGATTTCTTCATTTCATGCTAGACAGAAGAATTCTCAGTAACTTCTTTGTGCTGTGTGTATTCAACTCACAGAGTGGAACGTCCCTTTGCACAGAGCGGATTTGAAACACTCTTTTTGTGGAGTTTGCAAGTGGAGATTTCAAGCGATTTGATGCCAACAGTAGAAAAGGAAATATCTTCAAATAAAAACTAGACAGAATCATTCTCAGAAACTACTTTGTGATGTGTGCCTTCAACTCACAGAGTTTAACCTTTCTTTTCTTAGAGCAGTTTAGAAACACTCTGCTTGTTATGTCTGCAAGTGGATATTTGGACCTCTTTGAGGCCTTCGTTGCAAACGGGGTTTCTTCCTTTCATGCTAGACTAAGAAGAGTTCTCAGTAACTTTTTTGTGTTGTGTGTATTCAACTCACAGAGTTGAACCTTGCTTTAGAGAGAGCAGATTTGAAACACTCTTGCTGTGGCATTTTCAGGTGGAGATTTCAAGCGATTTGAGGACAATTGCAGAAAAGGAAATATCTTCGTATAATAACCAGACAGAATCATTCTCAGAAAGTGCTTTGTGATGTGTGCGTTCAACTCACAGAGTTTAACCTTTCTTTCCAAAGAGGAGTTTGGAAACACACTGTTTGTAAAGTCTGCAATTGGATATATGGACCTGTTTGAGGCCTTCGTTGGAAACGGGATTTCTTCATTGAATGCTAGACGGAAGAATTCTCAGTAAATTCTTTGTGTTGTGTGCATTCAACTGACAGAGTGGAACGTCCCTTTAGACAGAGCAGATTTGAAACACTCTTTTTGCGGAATTTGCAAGTGGAGATTTCTAGCCATTTGATGCCAACAGTAGAAAGGGAAACATCTTCAAATAAAAACCAGACAGAATCATTCTCAGAAATTTCTTTGTGATGTGTGCGTTCAACTCACATAGTTTAACCTTTCTTTTCATAGAGCAGTTTGGAAACACTCTGTTTGTAAAGTCTGCAAGTGGATATATGGACCGCATTGAGGCCTTTGTTGGAAACGGGATTTCTTCATTTCATGCTAGACAGAAGAATTCTCAGTAACTTCTTTGTGCTGTGTGTATTCAACTCACAGAGTGGAACGTCCCTTTGCACAGAGCAGATTTGAAACACTCTTTTTGTGGAATTTGCAAGTGGAGACTTCAAGCGATTTGATGCCAACAGTAGAAAAGGAAATATCTTCAAATAAAAACTAGACAGAATCATTCTCAGAAACTACTTTGTGATGTGTGCCTTCAACTCACAGAGTTTAACCTTTCTTTTCTTAGAGCAGTTTAGAAACACTCTGCTTGTTATGTCTGCAAGTGGATATTTGGACCTCTTTGAGGCCTTCGTTGCAAACGGGGTTTCTTCCTTTCATGCTAGACTAAGAAGAGTTCTCAGTAACTTTTTTGTGTTGTGTGTATTCAACTCACAGAGTTGAACCTTGCTTTAGAGAGAGCAGATTTGAAACACTCTTGCTGTGGCATTTTCAGGTGGAGATTTCAAGCGATTTGAGGACAATTGCAGAAAAGGAAATATCTTCGTATAACAACCAGACAGAATCATTCTCAGAAAGTGCTTTGTGATGTGTGCGTTCAACTCACAGAGTTTAACCTTTCTTTTCATAGAGGAGTTTGGAAACACACTGTTTGTAAAGTCTGCAATTGGATATATGAACCTGTTTGAGGCCTTCGTTGGAAACGGGATTTCTTCATTGAAAGCTAGACGGAGTAATTCTCAGTAAATTCTTTGTGTTGTGTGCATTCAACTCACAGAGTGGAACGTCCCTTTAGACAGAGCAGATTTGAAACACTCTTTTTGCGGAATTTGCAAGTGGAGATTTCTAGCCATTTGATGCCAACAGTAGAAAGGGAAATATCTTCAAATAAAAACCAGGCAGAATCATTCTCAGAAAATTCTTTGTGATGTGTGCGTTCAACTCACATAGTTTAACCTTTCTTTTCATAGAGCAGTTTGGAAACACTCTGTTTGTAAAGTCTGCAAGTGGATATATGGACCGCATTGAGGCCTTCGTTGGAAACGGGATTTCTTCATTTCATGCTAGACAGAAGAATTCTCAGTAACTTCTTTGTGCTGTTTGTACTCAACTCACAGAGTGGAACGTCCCTTTGCACAGAGCAGATTTGAAACACTCTTTTTGTGGAGTTTGCAAGTGGAGATTTCAAGCGATTTGATGCCAACAGTAGAAAAGGAAATATCTTCAAATAAAAACTAGACAGAATCATTCTCAGAAACTACTTTGTGATGTGTGCCTTCAACTCACAGAGTTTAACCTTTCTTTTCTTAGAGCAGGTTAGAAACACTCTGCTTGTTATGTCTGCAAGTGGATATTTGGACCTCTTTGAGGCCTTCGTTGCAAACGGGGTTTCTTCCTTTCATGCTAGACTAAGAAGAGTTCTCAGTAACTTTTTTGTGTTGTGTGTATTCAACTCACAGAGTTGAACCTTGCTTTAGAGAGAGCAGATTTGAAACACTCTTGCTGTGGCATTTTCAGGTGGAGATTTCAAGCGATTTGAGGACAATTGCAGAAAAGGAAATATCTTCGTATAATAACCAGACAGAATCATTCTCAGAAAGTGCTTTGTGATGTGTGCGTTCCACTCACAGAGTTTAACCTTTCTTTTCATAGAGGAGTTTGGAAACACACTGTTTGTAAAGTCTGCAAGTGGATATATGGACCTGTTTGAGGCCTTCGTTGGAAACGGGATTTCTTCATTGAATGCTAGACGGAAGAATTCTCAGTAAATTCTTTGTGTTGTGTGCATTCAACTCACAGAGTGGAACGTCCCTTTAGACAGAGCAGATTTGAAACACTCTTTTTGCGGAATTTGCAAGTGGAGATTTCTAGCCATTAGATGCCAACAGTAGAAAGGGAAATATCTTCAAATAAAAACCAGACAGAATCATTCTCAGAAAATTCTTTGTGATGTGTGCGTTCAACTCACATAGTTTAACCTTTCTTTTCATAGAGCAGTTTGGAAACACTCTGTTTGTAAAGTCTGCAAGTGGATATATGGACCGCATTGAGGCCTTCGTTGGAAACGGGATTTCTTCATTTCATGCTAGACAGAAGAATTCTCAGTAACTTCTTTGTGCTGTGTGTATTCAACTCACAGAGTGGAACGTCCCTTTGCACAGAGCAGATTTGAAACACTCTTTGTGGAATTTGCAGGTGGAGATTTCAAGCGATTTGATGCCAACAGTAGAAAAGGAAATATCTTCAAATAAAAACTAGACAGAATCATTTAGAATCTACTTTGTGATGTGTGCCTTCAACTCACAGAGTTTAACCTTTCTTTTCTTAGAGCAGTTTAGAAACACTCTGCTTGTTATGTCTGCAAGTGGATATTTGGACCTCTTTGAGGCCTTCGTTGCAAACGGGGTTTCTTCCTTTAATGCTAGACTAAGAAGAGTTCTCAGTAACTTTTTTGTGTTGTGTGTATTCAACTCACAGAGTTGAACCTTGCTTTAGAGAGAGCAGATTTGAAACACTCTTGCTGTGGCATTTTCAGGTGGAGATTTCAAGCGATTTGAGGACAATTGCAGAAAAGGAAATATCTTCGTATAACAACCAGACAGAATCATTCTCAGAAAGTGCTTTGTGATGTGTGCGTTCAACTCACAGAGTTTAACCTTTCTTTCCATAGAGGAGTTTGGAAACACACTGTTTGTAAAGTCTGCAATTGGATATATGGACCTGTTTGAGGCCTTCGTTGGAAACGGGATTTCTTAAATTGAATGCTAGACGGAAGAATTCTCAGTAAATTCTTTGTGTTGTGTGCATTCAACTCACAGAAGTGAAACGTCCGTTTAGACAGAGCAGATTTGAAACACTCTTTTTGCGGAATTTGCAAGTGGAGATTTCTAGCCATTTGATGCCAACAGTAGAAAGGGAAACATCTTCAAATAAAAACCAGACAGAATCATTCTCAGAAAATTCTTTGTGATGTGTGCGTTCAACTCACATAGTTTAACCTTTCTTTTCATAGAGCAGTTTGGAAACACTCTGTTTGTAAAGTCTGCAAGTGGATATATGGACCGCATTGAGGCCTTCGTTGGAAACGGGATTTCTTCATTTCATGCTAGACAGAAGAATTCTCAGTAACTTCTTTGTGCTGTGTGTATTCAACTCACAGAGTGGAACGTCCCTTTGCACAGAGCAGATTTTAAACACTCTTTTTGTGGAGTTTGCAAGTGGAGATTTCAAGCGATTTGATGCCAACAGTAGAAAAGGAAATATCTTCAAATAAAAACTAGACAGAATCATTCTCAGAAAATTCTTTGTGATGTGTGCGTTCAACTCACATAGTTTAACCTTTCTTTTCTTAGAGCAGTTTAGAAACACTCTGCTTGTTATGTCTGCAAGTGGATATTTGGACCTCTTTGAGGCCTTCGTTGCAAACGGGGTTTCTTCCTTTCATGCTAGACTAAGAAGAGTTCTCAGTAACTTTTTTGTGTTGTGTGTATTCAACTCACAGAGTTGAACCTTGCTTTAGAGAGAGCAGATTTGAAACACTCTTGCTGTGGCATTTTCAGGTGGAGATTTCAAGCGATTTGAGGACAATTGCAGAAAAGGAAATATCTTCGTATAACAACCAGACAGAATCATTCTCAGAAAGTGCTTTGTGATGTGTGCGTTCAACTCACAGAGTTTAACCTTTCTTTTCATAGAGGAGTTTGGAAACACACTGTTTGTAAAGTCTGCAAGTGGATATATGGACCTGTTTGAGGCCTTCGTTGGAAACGGGATTTCTTCATTGAATGCTAGACGGAAGAATTCTCAGTAAATTCTTTGTGTTGTGTGCATTCAACTGACAGAGTGGAACGTCCCTTTAGACAGAGCAGATTTGAAACACTCTTTTTGCGGAATTTGCAAGTGGAGATTTCTAGCCATTTGATGCCAACAGTAGAAAGGGAAATATCTTCAAATAAAAACCAGACAGAATCATTCTCAGAAAATTCTTTGTGATGTGTGCGTTCAACTCACATAGTTTAACCTTTCTTTTCATAGAGCAGTTTGGAAACACTCTGTTTGTAAAGTCTGCAAGTGGATATATGGACCGCATTGAGGCCTTCGTTGGAAACGGGATTTCTTCATTTCATGCTAGACAGAAGAATTCTCAGTAACTTCTTTGTGCTGTGTGTATTCAACTCACAGAGTGGAACGTCCCTTTACACAGAGCAGATTTGAAACACTCTTTTTGTGGAGTTTGCAAGTGGAGATTTCAAGCGATTTGATGCCAACAGTAGAAAAGGAAATATCTTCAAGTAAAAACTAGACAGAATCATTCTCAGAAACTACTTTGTGATGTGTGCCTTCAACTCACAGAGTTTAACCTTTCTTTTCTTAGAGCAGTTTAGAAACACTCTGCTTGTTATGTCTGCAAGTGGATATTTGGACCTCTTTGAGGCCTTCGTTGCAAACGGGGTTTCTTCCTTTCATGCTAGACTAAGAAGAGTTCTCAGTAACTTTTTTGTGTTGTGTGTATTCAACTCACAGAGTTGAACCTTGCTTTAGAGAGAGCAGATTTGAAACACTCTCGCTGTGGAATTTTCAGGTGGAGATTTCAAGCGATTTGAGGACAATTGCAGAAAAGGAAATATCTTCGTATAATAACCAGACAGAATCATTCTCAGAAAGTGCTTTGTGATGTGTGCGTTCCACTCACAGAGTTTAAGCTTTCTTTTCATAGAGGAGTTTGGAAACACACTGTTTGTAAAGTCTGCAATTGGATACATGGACCTGTTTAAGGCCTTCGTTGGAAAAGGGATTTCTTCATTGAATGCTAGACGGAAGAATTCTCAGTAAATTCTTTGTGTTGTGTGCATTCAACTCACAGAGTGGAACGTCCCTTTAGACAGAGCAGATTTGAAACACTCTTTTTGCGGAATTTGCAAGTGGAGATTTCTAGCCATTTGATGCCAACAGTAGAAAGGGAAATATCTTCAAATAAAAACCAGACAGAATCATTCTCAGAAAATTCTTTGTGATGTGTGCGTTCAACTCACATAGTTTAACCTTTCTTTTCATGGAGCAGTTTGGAAACACTCTGTTTGTAAAGTCTGCAAGTGGATATATGGACCGCATTGAGGCCTTCGTTGGAAACGGGATTTCTTCATTTCATGCTAGACAGAAGAATTCTCAGTAACTTCTTTGTGCTGTGTGTATTCAACTCACAGAGTGGAACGTCCCTTTGCACAGAGCAGATTTGAAACACTCTTTTTGTGGAGTTTGCAAGTGGAGATTTCAAGCGATTTGATGCCAACAGTAGAAAAGGAAATATCTTCAAATAAAAACTAGACAGAATCATTCTCAGAAACTACTTTGTGATGTGTGCCTTCAACTCACCGAGTTTAACCTTTCTTTTCTGAGAGCAGCTTAGAAACACTCTGCTTGTTATGTCTGCAAGTTGATATTTGGACCTCTTTGAGGCCTTCGTTGCAAACGGGGTTTCTTCCTTTAATGCTAGACTAAGAAGAGTTCTCAGTAACTTTTTTGTGTTGTGTGTATTCAACTCACAGAGTTGAACCTTGCTTTAGAGAGAGCAGATTTGAAACACTCTCGCTGTGGAATTTTCAGGTGGAGATTTCAAGCGATTTGAGGACAATTGCAGAAAAGGAAATATCTTCGTATAATAACCAGACAGAATCATTCTCAGAAAGTGCTTTGTGATGTGTGCGTTCAACTCACAGAGTTTAACCTTTCTTTTCATAGAGGAGTTTGGAAACACACTGTTTGTAAAGTCTGCAATTGGATATATGGACCTGTTTGAGGCCTACGTTGGAAACGGGATTTCTTCATTGAATGCTAGACGGAAGAATTCTCAGTAAATTCTTTGTGTTGTGTGCATTCAACTCACAGAGTGGAACGTCCCTTTAGACAGAGCAGATTTGAAACACTCTTTTTGCGGAATTTGCAAGTGGAGATTTCTAGCCATTTGATGCCAACAGTAGAAAGGGAAATATCTTCAAATAAAAACCAGACAGAATCATTCTCAGAAAATTCTTTGTGATGTGTGCTTTCAACTCACATAGTTTAACCTTTCTTTTCATAGAGCAGTTTGGAAACACTCTGTTTGTAAAGTCTGCAAGTGGATATATGGACCGCATTGAGGCCTTCGTTGGAAACGGGATTTCTTCATTTCATGCTAGACAGAAGAATTCTCAGTAACTTCTTTGTGCTGTGTGTATTCAACTCACAGAGTGGAACGTCCCTTTACACAGAGCAGATTTGAAACACTCTTTTTGTGGAGTTTGCAAGTGGAGATTTCAAGCGATTTGATGCCAACAGTAGAAAAGGAAATATCTTCAAATAAAAACTAGACAGAATCATTCTGAGAAACTACTTTGTGATGTGTGCCTTCAACTCACAGAGTTTAACCTTTCTTTTCTTAGAGCAGTTTAGAAACACTCTGCTTGTTATGTCTGCAAGTGGATATTTGGACCTCTTTGAGGCCTTCGTTGCAAACGGGGTTTCTTCCTTTCATGCTAGACTAAGAAGAGTTCTCAGTAACTTTTTTGTGTTGTGTGTATTCAACTCACAGAGTAGAACCTTGCTTTAGAGAGAGCAGATTTGAAACACTCTTGCTGTGGCATTTTCAGGTGGAGATTTCAAGCGATTTGAGGACAATTGCAGAAAAGGAAATATCTTCGTATAACAACCAGACAGAATCATTCTCAGAAAGTGCTTTGTGATGTGTGCGTTCAACTCACAGAGTTTAACCTTTCTTTTCATAGAGGAGTTTGGAAACACACTGTTTGTAAAGTCTGCAATTGGATATATGGACCTGTTTGAGGCCTTCGTTGGAAACGGGATTTCTTCATTGAATGCTAGACGGAAGGATTCTCAGTAAATTCTTTGTGTTGTGTGCATTCAACTCACAGAGTGGAACGTCCCTTTAGACAGAGCAGATTTGAAACACTCTTTTTGCGGAATTTGCAAGTGGATATTTCTAGCCATTTGATGCCAACAGTAGAAAGGGAAATATCTTCAAATAAAAACCAGACAGAATCATTCTCAGAAAATTCTTTGTGATGTGTGCGTTCAACTCACATAGTTTAACCTTTCTTTTCATAGAGCAGTTTGGAAACACTCTGTTTGTAAAGTCTGCAAGTGGATATATGGACCGCATTGAGGCCTTCGTTGGAAACGGGATTTCTTCATTTCATACTAGACAGAAGAATTCTCAGTAACTTCTTTGTGCTGTGTGTATTCAACTCACAGAGTGGAACGTCCCTTTGCACAGAGCAGATTTGAAACACTCTTTTTGTGGAGTTTGCAAGTGGAGATTTCAAGCGATTTGATGCCAACAGTAGAAAAGGAAATATCTTCAAATAAAAACTAGACAGAATCATTCTCAGAAACTACTTTGTGATGTGTGCCTTCAACTCACAGAGTTTAACCTTTCTTTTCTTAGAGCAGCTTAGAAACACTCTGCTTGTTATGTCTGCAAGTGGATATTTGGACCTCTTTGAGGCCTTCGTTGCAAACGGGGTTTCTTCCTTTAATGCTAGACTAAGAAGAGTTCTCAGTAACTTTTTTGTGTTGTGTGTATTCAACTCACAGAGTTGAACCTTGCTTTAGAGAGAGCAGATTTGAAACACTCTTGCTGTGGCATTTTCAGGTGGAGATTTCAAGCGATTTGAGGACAATTGCAGAAAAGGAAATATCTTCGTATAATAACCAGACAGAATCATTCTCAGAAAGTGCGTTGTGATGTGTGCGTTCAACTCACAGAGTTTAACCTTTCTTTTCATAGAGGAGCTTGGAAACACACTGTTTGTAATGTCTGCAATTGGATATATGAACCTGTTTGAGGCCTTCGTTGGAAACGGGATTTCTTCATTGAATGCTAGACAGAAGAATTCTCAGTAACTTCTTTGTGCTGTGTGTATTCAACTCACAGAGTGGAACGTCCCTTTGCACAGAGCAGATTTGAAACACTCTTTTTGTGGAGTTTGCTAGTGGAGATTTCAAGCGATTTGATGCCAACAGTAGAAAAGGAAATATCTTCAAATAAAAACTAGACAGAATCATTCTCAGAAACTACTTTGTGATGTGTGCCTTTAACTCACAGAGTTTAACCTTTCTTTTCATAGAGCAGTTTGGAAACACTCTGTTTGTAAAGTCTGCAAGTGGATATTTGGACCTCTTTGAGGCCTTCGTTGCAAACGGGGTTTCTTCCTTTCATGCTAGACTAAGAAGAGTTCTCAGTAACTTTTTTGTGTTGTGTGTATTCAACTCACAGAGTTGAACCTTGCTTTAGAGAGAGCAGATTTGAAACACTCTTGCTGTGGCATTTTCAGGTGGAGATTTCAAGCGATTTGAGGACAATTGCAGAAAAGGAAATATCTTCGTATAATAACCAGACAGAATCATTCTCAGAAAGTGCTTTGTGATGTGTGCGTTCAACTCACAGAGTTTAACCTTTCTTTTCATAGAGGAGTTTGGAAACACACTGTTTGTAAAGTCTGCAATTGGATATATGGACCTGTTTGAGGCCTTCGTTGGAAACGGGATTTCTTCATTGAATGCTAGACGGAAGAATTCTCAGTAAATTCTTTGTGTTGTGTGCATTCAACTCACAGAGTGGAACGTCCCTTTAGACAGAGCAGATTTGAAACACTCTTTTTGCGGAATTTGCAAGTGGAGATTTCTAGCCATTTGATGCCAACAGTAGAAAGGGAAATATCTTCAAATAAAAACCAGACAGAATCATTCTCAGAAAATTCTTTGTGATGTGTGCGTTCAACTCACATAGTTTAACCTTTCTTTTCATAGAGCAGTTTGGAAACACTCTGTTTGTAAAGTCTGCAAGTGGATATATGGACCGCATTGAGGCCTTCGTTGGAAACGGGATTTCTTCATTTCATGCTAGACAGAAGAATTCTCAGTAACTTCTTTGTGCTGTGTGTATTCAACTCACAGAGTGGAACGTCCCTTTGCACAGAGCGGATTTGAAACACTCTTTTTGTGGAGTTTGCAAGTGGAGATTTCAAGCGATTTGATGCCAACAGTAGAAAAGGAAATATCTTCAAATAAAAACTAGACAGAATCATTCTCAAAAACTACTTTGTGATGTGTGCCTTCAACTCACAGAGTTTAACCTTTCTTTTCTTAGAGCAGTTTAGAAACACTCTGCTTGTTATGTCTGCAAGTGGATATTTGGACCTCTTTGAGGCCTTCGTTGCAAACGGGGTTTCTTCCTTTCATGCTAGACTAAGAAGAGTTCTCAGTAACTTTTTTGTGTTGTGTGTATTCAACTCACAGAGTTGAACCTTGCTTTAGAGAGAGCAGATTTGAAACACTCTTGCTGTGGCATTTTCAGGTGGAGATTTCAAGCGATTTGAGGACAATTGCAGAAAAGGAAATATCTTCGTATAATAACCAGACAGAATCATTCTCAGAAAGTGCTTTGTGATGTGTGCGTTCAACTCACAGAGTTTAACCTTTCTTTTCATAGAGGAGTTTGGAAACACACTGTTTGTAAAGTCTGCAATTGGATATATGGACCTGTTTGAGGCCTTCGTTGGAAACGGGATTTCTTCATTGCATGCTAGACGGAAGAATTCTCAGTAAATTCTTTGTGTTGTGTGCATTCAACTGACAGAGTGGAACGTCTCTTTAGACAGAGCAGATTTGAAACACTCTTTTTGCGGAATTTGCAAGTGGAGATTTCTAGCCATTTGATGCCAACAGTAGAAAGGGAAATATCTTCAAATAAAAACCAGACAGAATCATTCTCAGAAAATTCTTTGTGATGTGTGCGTTCAACTCACATAGTTAAACCTTTCTTTTCATAGAGCAGTTTGGAAACACTCTGTTTGTGAAGTCTGCAAGTGGATATATGGACCGCATTGAGGCCTTCGTTGGAAACGGGATTTCTTCATTTCATGCTAGACAGAAGAATTCTCAGTAACTTCTTTGTGCTGTGTGTACTCAACTCACAGAGTGGAACGTCCCTTTGCACAGAGCAGATTTGAAACACTCTTTTTGTGGAGTTTGCAAGTGGAGATTTCAAGCGATTTGATGCCAACAGTAGAAAAGGAAATATCTTCAAATAAAAACTAGACAGAATCATTCTCAGAAACTACTTTGTGATGTCTGCCTTCAACTCACAGAGTTTAACCTTTCTTTTCTTAGAGCAGTTTAGAAACACTCTGCTTGTTATGTCTGCAAGTGGATATTTGGACCTCTTTGAGGCCTTCGTTGCAAACGGGGTTTCTTCCTTTCATGCTAGACTAAGAAGAGTTCTCAGTAACTTTTTTGTGTTGTGTGTATTCAACTCACAGAGTTGAACCTTGCTTTAGAGAGAGCAGATTTGAAACACTCTTGCTGTGGCATTTTCAGGTGGAGATTTCAAGCGTTTTGAGGACAATTGCAGAAAAGGAAATATCTTCGTATAATAACCAGACAGAATCATTCTCAGAAAGTGCTTTGTGATGTGTGCGTTCAACTCACAGAGTTTAACCTTTCTTTTCATAGAGGAGTTTGGAAACACACTGTTTGTAAAGTCTGCAATTGGATATATGGACCTGTTTGAGGCCTTCGTTGGAAACGGGATTTCTTCATTGCATGCTAGACGGAAGAATTCTCAGTAAATTCTTTGTGTTGTGTGCATTCAACTCACAGAGTGGAACGTCCCTTTAGACAGAGCAGATTTGAAACACTCTTTTTGCGGAATTTGCAAGTGGAGATTTCTAGCCATTTGATGCCAACAGTAGAAAGGGAAATATCTTCAAATAAAAACCAGACAGAATCATTCTCAGAAAATTCTTTGTGATGTGTGCGTTCAACTCACATAGTTTAACCTTTCTTTTCATAGAGCAGTTTGGAAACACTCTGTTTGTAAAGTCTGCAAGTGGATATATGGACCGCATTGAGGCCTTCGTTGGAAACGGGATTTCTTCATTTCATGCTAGACAGAAGAATTCTCAGTAACTTCTTTGTGCTGTGTGTATTCAACTCACAGAGTGGAACGTCCCTTTGCACAGAGCAGATTTGAAACACTCTTTTTGTGGAATTTGCAAGTGGAGATTTCAAGCGATTTGATGCCAACAGTAGAAAAGGAAATATCTTCAAATAAAAACTAGACAGAATCATTCTCAGAAACTACTTTGTGATGTGTGCCTTCAACTCACAGAGTTTAACCTTTCTTTTCTTAGAGCAGTTTAGAAACACTCTGCTTGTTATGTCTGCAAGTGGATATTTGGACCTCTTTGAGGCCTTCGTTGCAAACGGGGTTTCTTCCTTTCATGCTAGACTAAGAAGAGTTCTCAGTAACTTTTTTGTGTTGTGTGTATTCAACTCACAGAGTTGAACCTTGCTTTAGAGAGAGCAGATTTGAAACACTCTTGCTGTGGTATTTTCAGGTGGAGATTTCAAGCGATTTGAGGACAATTGCAGAAAAGGAAATATCTTCGTATAACAACCAGACAGAATCATTCTCAGAAAGTGCTTTGTGATGTGTGCGTTCAACTCACAGAGTTTAACCTTTCTTTTCATAGAGGAGTTTGGAAACACACTGTTTGTAAAGTCTGCAATTGGATATATGGACCTGTTTGAGGCCTTCGTTGGAAACGGGATTTCTTCATTGCATGCTAGACGGAAGAATTCTCAGTAAATTCTTTGTGTTGTGTGCATTCAACTCACAGAGTGGAACGTCCCTTTAGACAGAGCAGATTTGAAACACTCTTTTTGCGGAATTTGCAAGTGGAGATTTCTAGCCATTTGATGCCAACAGTAGAAAGGGAAATATCTTCAAATAAAAACCAGACAGAATCATTCTCAGAAAATTCTTTGGGATGTGTGCGTTCAACTCACATAGTTTAACCTTTCTTTTCATAGAGCAGTTTGGAAACACTCTGTTTGTAAAGTCTGCAAGTGGATATATGGACCGCATTGAGGCCTTCGTTGGAAACGGGATTTCTTCATTTCATGCTAGACAGAAGAATTCTCAGTAACTTCTTTGTGCTGTGTGTATTCAACTCACAGAGTGGAACGTCCCTTTACACAGAGCAGATTTGAAACACTCTTTTTGTGGAATTTGCAAGTGGAGATTTCAAGCGATTTGATGCCAACAGTAGAAAAGGAAATATCTTCAAATAAAAACTAGACAGAATCATTCTCAGAAACTACTTTGTGATGTGTGCCTTCAACTCACAGAGTTTAACCTTTCTTTTCTTAGAGCAGTTTAGAAACACTCTGCTTGTTATGTCTGCAAGTGGATATTTGGACCTCTTTGAGGCCTTCGTTGCAAACGGGGTTTCTTCCTTTAATGCTAGACTAAGAAGAGTTCTCAGTAACTTTTTTGTGTTGTGTGTATTCAACTCACAGAGTTGAACCTTGCTTTAGAGAGAGCAGATTTGAAACACTCTTGCTGTGGAATTTTCAGGTGGAGATTTCAAGCGATTTGAGGACAATTGCAGAAAAGGAAATATCTTCGTGTAATAACCAGACAGAATCATTCTCAGAAAGTGCTTTGTGATGTGTGCGTTCAACTCACAGAGTTTAACCTTTCTTTTCATAGAGGAGCTTTGAAACACACTGTTTGTAAAGTCTGCAATTGGATATATGGACCTGTTTGAGGCCTCCGTTGGAAACGGGATTTCTTCATTGAATGCTAGACGGAAGAATTCTCAGTAAATTCTTTGTGTTGTGTGCATTCAACTCACAGAGTGGAACGTCCCTTTAGACAGAGCAGATTTGAAACACTCTTTTTGCGGAATTTGCAAGTGGAGATTTCTAGCCATTTGATGCCAACAGTAGAAAGGGAAATATCTTCAAATAAAAACCAGACAGAATCATTCTCAGAAAATTCTTTGTGATGTGTGCGTTCAACTCACATAGTTTAACCTTTCTTTTCATAGAGCAGTTTGGAAACACTCTGTTTGTAAAGTCTGCAAGTGGATATATGGACCGCATTGAGGCCTTCGTTGGAAACGGGATTTCTTCATTTCATGCTAGACAGAAGAATACTCAGTAACTTCTTTGTGCTGTGTGTATTCAACTCACAGACTGGAACGTCCCTTTACACAGAGCAGATTTGAAACACTCTTTTTGTGGAGTTTGCAAGTGGAGATTTCAAGCGATTTGATGCCAACAGTAGAAAAGGAAATATCTTCAAATAAAAACTAGACAGAATCATTCTCAGAAACTACTTTGTGATGTGTGCCTTCAACTCACAGAGTTTAACCTTTCTTTTCTTAGAGCAGTTTAGAAACACTCTGCTTGTTATGTCTGCAAGTGGATATTTGGACCTCTTTGAGGCCTTCGTTGCAAACGGGGTTTCTTCCTTTCATGCTAGACTAAGAAGAGTTCTCAGTAACTTTTTTGTGTTGTGTGTATTCAACTCACAGAGTTGAACCTTGCTTTAGAGAGAGCAGATTTGAAACACTCTTGCTGTGGCATTTTCAGGTGGAGATTTCAAGCGTTTTGAGGACAATTGCAGAAAAGGAAATATCTTCGTATAATAACCAGACAGAATCATTCTCAGAAAGTGCTTTGTGATGTGTGCGTTCCACTCACAGAGTTTAACCTTTCTTTTCATAGAGGAGTTTGGAAACACACTGTTTGTAAAGTCTGCAAGTGGATATATGGACCTGTTTGAGGCCTTCGTTGGAAACGGGATTTCTTCATTGAATGCTAGACGGAAGAATTCTCAGTAAATTCTTTGTGTTGTGTGCATTCAACTCACAGAGTGGAACGTCCCTTTAGACAGAGCAGATTTGAAACACTCTTTTTGCGGAATTTGCAAGTGGAGATTTCTAGCCATTTGATGCCAACAGTAGAAAGGGAAATATCTTCAAATAAAAACCAGACAGAATCATTCTCAGAAAATTCTTTGTGATGTGTGCGTTCAACTCACATAGTTTAACCTTTCTTTTCATAGAGCAGTTTGGAAACACTCTGTTGGTAAAGTCTGCAAGTGGATATATGGACCGCATTGAGGCCTTCATTGGAAACGGGATTTCTTCATTTCATGCTAGACAGAAGAATTCTCAGTAACTTCTTTGTGCTGTGTGTATTCAACTCACAGAGTGGAACGTCCCTTTACACAGAGCAGATTTGAAACACTCTTTTTGTGGAGTTTGCAAGTGGAGATTTCAAGCGATTTGATGCCAACAGTAGAAAAGGAAATATCTTCAAATAAAAACTAGACAGAATCATTCTCAGAAACTACTTTGTGATGTGTGCCTTCAACTCACAGAGTTTAACCTTTCTTTTCTTAGAGCAGTTTAGAAACACTCTGCTTGTTATGTCTGCAAGTGGATATTTGGACCTACTTTGAGGCCTTCGTTGCAAACGGGGTTTCTTCCTTTCATGCTAGACTAAGAAGAGTTCTCAGTAACTTTTTTGTGTTGCGTGTATTCAACTCACAGAGTTGAACCTTGCTTTAGAGAGAGCAGATTTGAAACACTCTTGCTGTGGCATTTTCAGGTGGAGATTTCAAGCGATTTGAGGACAATTGCAGAAAAGGAAATATCTTCGTATAATAACCAGACAGAATCATTCTCAGAAAGTGCTTTGTGATGTGTGCGTTCCACTCACAGAGTTTAACCTTTCTTTTCATAGAGGAGTTTGGAAACACACTGTTTGTAAACTCTGCAAGTGGATATATGGACCTGTTTGTGGCCTTCGTTGGAAACGGGATTTCTTCATTGAATGCTAGACGGAAGAATTCTCAGTAAATTCTTTGTGTTGTGTGCATTCAACTCACAGAGTGGAACGTCCCTTTAGACAGAGCAGATTTTAAACACTCTTTTTGCGGAATTTGCAAGTAGAGATTTCTAGCCATTTGATGCCAACAGTAGAAAGGGAAATATCTTCAAATAAAAACCAGACAGAATCATTCTCAGAAAATTCTTTGTGATGTGTGCGTTCAACTCACATAGTTTAACCTTTCTTTTCATAGAGCAGTTTGGAAACACTCTGTTTGTAAAGTCTGCAAGTGGATATATGGACCGCATTGAGGCCTTCGTTGGAAACGGGATTTCTTCATTTCATGCTAGACAGAAGAATTCTCAGTAACTTCTTTGTGCTGTGTGTATTCAACTCACAGAGTGGAACGTCCCTTTGCACAGAGCAGATTTGAAACACTCTTTTTGTGGAGTTTGCAAGTGGAGATTTCAAGCGATTTGATGCCAACAGTAGAAAAGGAAATATCTTCAAATAAAAACTAGACAGAATCATTCTCAGAAACTACTTTGTGATGTGTGCCTTCAACTCACAGAGTTTAACCTTTCTTTTCTTAGAGCACTTTAGAAACACTCTGCTTGTTATGTCTGCAAGTGGATATTTGGACCTCTTTGAGGCCTTCGTTGCAAACGGGGTTTCTTCCTTTCATGCTAGACTAAGAAGAGTTCTCAGTAACTTTTTTGTGTTGTGTGTATTCAACTCACAGAGTTGAACCTTGCTTTAGAGAGAGCAGATTTGAAACACTCTTGCTGTGGCATTTTCAGGTGGAGATTTCAAGCGATTTGAGGACAATTGCAGAAAAGGAAATATCTTCGTATAATAACCAGACAGAATCATTCTCAGAAAGTGCTTTGTGATGTGTGCGTTCAACTCACAGAGTTTAACTTTTCTTTCCATAGAGGAGTTTGGAAACACACTGTTTGTAAAGTCTGCAAGTGGATATATGGACCTGTTTGAGGCCTTCGTTGGAAACGGGATTTCTTCATTGAATGCTAGACGGAAGAATTCTCAGTAAATTCTTTGTGTTGTGTGCATTCAACTCACAGAGTGGAACGTCCCTTTAGACAGAGCAGATTTGAAACACTCTTTTTGCGGAATTTGCAAGTGGAGATTTCTAGCCATTTGATGCCAACAGTAGAAAGGGAAATATCTTCAAATAAAAACCAGACAGAATCATTCTCAGAAAATTCTTTGTGATGTGTGCGTTCAACTCACATAGTTTAACCTTTCTTTTCATAGAGCAGTTTGGAAACACTCTGTTTGTAAAGTCTGCAAGTGGATATATGGACCGCATTGAGGCCTTCGTTGGAAACGGGATTTCTTCATTTCATGCTAGACAGAAGAATTCTCAGTAACTTCTTTGTGCTGTGTGTATTCAACTCATAGAGTGGAACGTCCCTTTACACAGAGCAGATTTGAAACACTCTTTTTGTGGAGTTTGCAAGTGGAGATTTCAAGCGATTTGATGCCAACAGTAGAAAAGGAAATATCTTCAAATAAAAACTAGACAGAATCATTCTCAGAAACTACTTTGTGATGTGTGCCTTCAACTCACAGAGTTTAACCTTTCTTTTCTTAGAGCAGTTTAGAAACACTCTGCTTGTTATGTCTGCAAGTGGATATTTGGACCTCTTTGAGGCCTTCGTTGCAAACGGGGTTTCTTCCTTTCATGCTAGACTAAGAAGAGTTCTCAGTAACTTTTTTGTGTTGTGTGTATTCAACTCACAGAGTTGAACCTTGCTTTAGAGAGAGCAGATTTGAAACACTCTTGCTGTGGCATTTTCAGGTGGAGATTTCAAGCGATTTGAGGACAATTGCAGAAAAGGAAATATCTTCGTATAACAACCAGACAGAATCATTCTCAGAAAGTGCTTTGTGATGTGTGCGTTCAACTCACAGAGTTTAACCTTTCTTTTGATAGAGGAGTTTGGAAACACACTGTTTGTAAAGTCTGCAATTGGATATATGGACCTGTTTGAGGCCTTCGTTGGAAACGGGATTTCTTCATTGAATGCTAGACGGAAGAATTCTCAGTAAATTCTTTGTGTGGTGTGCATTCAACTCACAGAGTGGAACGTCCCTTTAGACAGAGCAGATTTGAAACACTCTTTTTGCGGAATTTGCAAGTGGAGATTTCTAGCCATTTGATGCCAACAGTAGAAAGGGAAATATCTTCAAATAAAAACCAGACAGAATCATTCTCAGAAAATTCTTTGTGATGTGTGCTTTCAACTCACATAGTTTAACCTTTCTTTTCATAGAGCAGTTTGGAAACACTCTGTTTGTAAAGTCTGCAAGTGGATATATGGACCGCATTGAGGCCTTCGTTGGAAAAGGGATTTCTTCATTTCATGCTAGACAGAAGAATTCTCAGTAACTTCTTTGTGCTGTGTGTATTCAACTCACAGAGTGGAACGTCCCTTTGCACAGAGCAGATTTGAAACACTCTTTTTGTGGAGTTTGCAAGTGGAGATTTCAAGCGATTTGATGCCAACAGTAGAAAAGGAAATATCTTCAAATAAAAACTAGACAGAATCATTCTCAGAAACTACTTTGTGATGTGTGCCTTCAACTCACCGAGTTTAACCTTTCTTTTCTGAGAGCAGCTTAGAAACACTCTGCTTGTTATGTCTGCAAGTTGATATTTGGACCTCTTTGAGGCCTTCGTTGCAAACGGGGTTTCTTCCTTTAATGCTAGACTAAGAAGAGTTCTCAGTAACTTTTTTGTGTTGTGTGTATTCAACTCACAGAGTTGAACCTTGCTTTAGAGAGAGCAGATTTGAAACACTCTTGCTGTGGCATTTTCAGGTGGAGATTTCAAGCGATTTGAGGACAATTGCAGAAAAGGAAATATCTTCGTATAATAACCAGACAGAATCATTCTCAGAAAGTGCTTTGTGATGTGTGCGTTCCACTCACAGAGTTTAACCTTTCTTTTCATAGAGGAGTTTGGAAACACACTGTTTGTAAAGTCTGCAATTGGATATATGGACCTGTTTGAGGCCTTCGTTGGAAACGGGATTTCTTCATTGAATGCTAGACGGAAGAATTCTCAGTAAATTCTTTGTGTTGTGTGCATTCAACTCACAGAGTGGAACGTCCCTTTAGACAGAGCAGAATTGAAACACTCTTTTTGCGGAATTTGCAAGTGGAGATTTCTAGCCATTTGATGCCAACAGTAGAAAGGGAAATATCTTCAAATAAAAACCAGACAGAATCATTCTCAGAAAATTCTTTGTGATGTGTGCGTTCAACTCACATAGTTTAACCTTTCTTTTCATAGAGCAGTTTGGAAACACTCTGTTTGTAAAGTCTGCAAGTGGATATATGGACCGCATTGAGGCCTTCGTTGGAAACGGGATTTCTTCATTTCATGCTAGACAGAAGAATTCTCAGTAACTTCTTTGTGCTGTGTGTATTCAACTCACAGAGTGGAACGTCCCTTTGCACAGAGCAGATTTGAAACACTCTTTTTGTGGAGTTTGCAAGTGGAGATTTCAAGCGATTTGATGCCAACAGTAGAAAAGGAAATATCTTCAAATAAAAACTAGACAGAATCATTCTCAGAAACTACTTTGTGATGTGTGCCTTCAACTCACAGAGTTTTACCTTTCTTTTCTTAGAGCAGTTTAGAAACACTCTGCTTGTTATGTCTGCAAGTGGATATTTGGACCTCTTTGAGGCCTTCGTTGCAAACGGGGTTTCTTCCTTTCATGCTAGACTAAGAAGAGTTCTCAGTAACTTTTTTGTGTTGTGTGTATTCAACTCACAGAGATGAACCTTGCTTTAGAGAGAGCAGATTTGAAACACTCTTGCTGTGGCATTTTCAGGTGGAGATTTCAAGCGATTTGAGGACAATTGCAGAAAAGGAAATATCTTCGTATAATAACCAGACAGAATCATTCTCAGAAAGTGCTTTGTGATGTGTGCGTTCCACTCACAGAGTTTAACCTTTCTTTTCATAGAGGAGTTTGGAAACACACTGTTTGTAAAGTCTGCAAGTGGATATATGGACCTGTTTGAGGCCTTCGTTGGAAACGGGATTTCTTCATTGAATGCTAGACGGAAGAATTCTCAGTAAATTCTTTGTGTTGTGTGCATTCAACTCACAGAGTGGAACGTCCCTTTAGACAGAGCAGATTTGAAACACTCTTTTTGCGGAATTTGCAAGTGGAGATTTCTAGCCATTTGATGCCAACAGTAGAAAGGGAAATATCTTCAAATAAAAACCAGACAGAATCATTCTCAGAAAATTCTTTGTGATGTGTGCGTTCAACTCACATAGTTTAACCTTTCTTTTCATAGAGCAGTTTGGAAACACTCTGTTTGTAAAGTCTGCAAGTGGATATATGGACCGCATTGAGGCCTTCGTTGGAAACGGGATTTCTTCATTTCATGCTAGACAGAAGAATTCTCAGTAACTTCTTTGTGCTGTGTGTATTCAACTCACAGAGTGGAACATCCCTTTACACAGAGCAGATTTGAAACACTCTTTTTGTAGAGTTTGCAAGTGGAGATTTCAAGCGATTTGATGCCAACAGTAGAAAAGGAAATATCTTCAAATAAAAACTAGACAGAATCATTCTCAGAAACTACTTTGTGATGTGTGCCTTCAACTCACAGAGTTTAACCTTTCTTTTCTTAGAGCAGTTTAGAAACACTCTGCTTGTTATGTCTGCAAGTGGATATTTGGACCTCTTTGAGGCCTTCGTTGCAAACGGGGTTTCTTCCTTTCATGCTAGACTAAGAAGAGTTCTCAGTAACTTTTTTGTGTTGTGTGTATTCAACTCACAGAGTTGAACCTTGCTTTAGAGAGAGCAGATTTGAAACACTCTTGCTGTGGCATTTTCAGGTGGAGATTTCAAGCGATTTGAGGACAATTGCAGAAAAGGAAATATCTTCGTATAATAACCAGACAGAATCATTCTCAGAAAGTGCTTTGTGATGTGTGCGTTCAACTCACAGAGTTTAACCTTTCTTTTCATAGAGGAGTTTGGAAACACACTGTTTGTAAAGTCTGCAATTGGATATATGGAGCTGTTTGAGGCCTTCGTTGGAAACGGGATTTCTTCATTGAATGCTAGGCGGAAGAATTCTCAGTAAATTCTTTGTGTTGTGTGCATTCAACTCACAGAGTGGAACGTTCCTTTAGACAGAGCAGATTTGAAACACTCTTTTTGCGGAATTTGCAAGTGGAGATTTCTAGCCATTTGATGCCAACAGTAGAAAGGGAAATATCTTCAAATAAAAACCAGACAGAATCATTCTCAGAAAATTCTTTGTGATGTGTGCGTTCAACTCACATAGTTTAACCTTTCTTTTCATAGAGCTGTTTGGAAACACTCTGTTTGTAAAGTCTGCAAGTGGATATATGGACCGCATTGAGGCCTTCGTTGGAAACGGGATTTCTTCATTTCATGCTAGACAGAAGAATTCTCAGTAACTTCTTTGTGCTGTGTGTACTCAACTCACAGAGTGGAACGTCCCTTTGCACAGAGCAGATTTGAAACACTCTTTTTGTGGAGTTTGCAAGTGGAGATTTCAAGCGATTTGATGCCAACAGTAGAAAAGGAAATATCTTCAAATAAAAACTAGACAGAATCATTCTCAGAAACTACTTTGTGATGTCTGCCTTCAACTCACAGAGTTTAACCTTTCTTTTCTTAGAGCAGTTTAGAAACACTCTGCTTGTTATGTCTGCAAGTGGATATTTGGACCTCTTTGAGGCCTTCGTTGCAAACGGGGTTTCTTCCTTTCATGCTAGACTAAGAAGAGTTCTCAGTAACTTTTTTGTGTTGTGTGTATTCAACTCACAGAGTTGAACCATGCTTTAGAGAGAGCAGATTTGAAACACTCTTGCTGTGGCATTTTCAGGTGGAGATTTCAAGCGATTTGAGGACAATTGCAGAAAAGGAAATATCTTCGTATAACAACCAGACAGAATCATTCTCAGAAAGTGCTTTGTGATGTGTGGGTTCAACTCACAGAGTTTAACCTTTCTTTTCATAGAGGAGTTTGGAAACACACTGTTTGTAAAGTCTGCAATTGGATATATGGACCTGTTTGAGTCCTTCGTTGGAAACGGGATTTCTTCATTGACTGCTAGACAGAAGAATTCTCAGTAAATTCTTTGTGTTGTGTGCATTCAACTCACAGAGTGGAACGTCCCTTTAGACAGAGCAGATTTGAAACACTCTTTTTGCGGAATTTGCAAGTGGAGATTTCTAGCCATTTGATGCCAACAGTAGAAAGGGAAATATCTTCAAATAAAAACCAGACAGAATCATTCTCAGAAAATTCTTTGTGATGTGTGCGTTCAACTCACATAGTTTAACCTTTCTTTTCATAGAGCAGTTTGGAAACACTCTGTTTGTAAAGTCTGCAAGTGGATATATGGACCGCATTGAGGCCTTCGTTGGAAACGGGATTTCTTCATTTCATGCTAGACAGAAGAATTCTCAGTAACTTCTTTGTGCTGTGTGTATTCAACTCACAGAGTGGAACGTCCCTTTGCACAGAGCAGATTTGAAACACTCTTTTTGTGGAGTTTGCAAGTGGAGATTTCAAGCGATTTGATGCCAACAGTAGAAAAGGAAATATCTTCAAATAAAAACTAGACAGAATCATTCTCAGAAACTACTTTGTGATGTGTGCCTTCAACTCACAGAGTTTAACCTTTCTTTTCTTAGAGCAGTTTAGAAACACTCTGCTTGTTATGTCTGCAAGTGGATATTTGGACCTCTTTGAGGCCTTCGTTGCAAACGGGGTTTCTTCCTTTCATGCTAGACTAAGAAGAGTTCTCAGTAACTTTTTTGTGTTGTGTGTATTCAACTCACAGAGTTGAACCTTGCTTTAGAGAGAGCAGATTTGAAACACTCTTGCTGTGGCATTTTCAGGTGGAGATTTCAAGCGATTTGAGGACAATTGCAGAAAAGGAAATATCTTCGTATAATAACCAGACAGAATCATTCTCAGAAAGTGCTTTGTGATGTGTGCGTTCCACTCACAGAGTTTAACCTTTCTTTTCATAGAGGAGTTTGGAAACACACTGTTTGTAAACTCTGCAAGTGGATATATGGACCTGTTTGAGGCCTTCGTTGGAAACGGGATTTCTTCATTGAATGCTAGACGGAAGAATTCTCAGTAAATTCTTTGTGTTGTGTGCATTCAACTCACAGAGTGGAACGTCCCTTTAGACAGAGCAGATTTGAAACACTCTTTTTGCGGAATTTGCAAGTGGAGATTTCTAGCCATTTGATGCCAACAGTAGAAAGGGAAATATCTTCAAATAAAAACCAGACAGAATCATTCTCAGAAAATTCTTTGTGATGTGTGCGTTCAACTCACATAGTTTAACCTTTCTTTTCATAGAGCAGTTTGGAAACACTCTGTTTGTAAAGTCTGTAAGTGGATATATAGACCGCATTGAGGCCTTCGTTGGAAACGGGATTTCTTCATTTCGTGCTAGACAGAAGAATTCTCAGTAACTTCTTTGTGCTGTGTGTATTCAACTCACAGAGTGGAACGTCCCTTTGCACAGAGCAGATTTGAAACACTCTTTTTATGGAGTTTGCAAGTGGAGATTTCAAGCGATTTGATGCCAACAGTAGAAAAGGAAATATCTTCAAATAAAAACTAGACAGAATCATTCTCAGAAACTACTTTGTGATGTGTGCCTTCAACTCACAGAGTTTAACCTTTCTTTTCTTAGAGCAGTTTAGAAACACTCTGCTTGTTATGTCTGCAAGTGGATATTTGGACCTCTTTGAGGCCTTCGTTGCAAACGGGGTTTCTTCCTTTAATGCTAGACTAAGAAGAGTTCTCAGTAACTTTTTTGTGTTGTGTGTATTCAACTCACAGAGTTGAACCTTGCTTTAGAGAGAGCAGATTTGAAACACTCTTGCTGTGGCATTTTCAGGTGGAGATTTCAAGCGATTTGAGGACAATTGCAGAAAAGGAAATATCTTCGTATAACAACCAGACAGAATCATTCTCAGAAAGTGCTTTGTGATGTGTGCGTTCAACTCACAGAGTTTAATCTTTCTTTTCATAGAGGAGTTTGGAAACACACTGTTTGTAAAGTCTGCAATTGGATATATGGACCTGTTTGAGGCCTTCGTTGGAAACGGGATTTCTTCATTGAATGCTAGACGGAAGAATTCTCAGTAAATTCTTCGTGTTGTGTGCATTCAACTCACAGAGTGGAACGTCCCTTTAGACAGAGCAGATTTGAAACACTCTTTTTGCGGAATTTGCAAGTGGAGATTTCTAGCCATTTGATGCCAACAGTAGAAAGGGAAATATCTTCAAATAAAAACCAGACAGAATCATTCTCAGAAAATTCTTTGTGATGTGTGCGTTCAACTCACATAGTTTAACCTTTCTTTTCATAGAGCAGTTTGGAAACACTCTGTTTGTAAAGTCTGCAAGTGGATATATAGACCGCATTGAGGCCTTCGTTGGAAACGGGATTTCTTCATTTCGTGCTTGACAGAAGAATTCTCAGTAACTTCTTTGTGCTGTGTGTATTCAACTCACAGAGTGGAACGTCCCTTTACACAGAGCAGATTTGAAACACTCTTTTTGTGGAGTTTGCAAGTGGAGATTTCAAGCGATTTGATGCCAACAGTAGAAAAGGAAATATCTTCAAATAAAAACTAGACAGAATCATTCTCAGAAACTACTTTGTGATGTGTGCCTTCAACTCAGAGTTTAACCTTTCTTTTCTTAGAGCAGTTTAGAAACACTCTGCTTGTTATGTCTGCAAGTGGATATTTGGACCTCTTTGAGGCCTTCGTTGCAAACGGGGTTTCTTCTTTTAATGCTAGACTAAGAAGAGTTCTCAGTAACTTTTTTGTGTTGTGTGTATTCAACTCACAGAGTTGAACCTTGCTTTAGAGAGAGCAGATTTGAAACACTCTTGCTGTGGCATTTTCAGGTGGAGATTTCAAGCGTTTTGAGGACAATTGCAGAAAAGGAAATATCTTCGTATAATAACCAGACAGAATCATTCTCAGAAAGTGCTTTGTGATGTGTGCGTTCAACTCACAGAGTTTAACCTTTCTTTTCATAGAGGAGCTTGGAAACACACTGTTTGTAAAGTCTGCAATTGGATATATGGACCTGTTTGAGGCTTCCGTTGGAAACGGGATTTCTTCATTGAATGCCAGACGGAAGAATTCTCAGTAAATTCTTTGTGTTGTGTGCATTCAACTCACAGAGTGGAACGTCCCTTTAGACAGAGCAGATTTGAAACACTCTTTTTGCGGAATTTGCAAGTGGAGATTTCTAGCCATTTGATGCCAACAGTAGAAAGGGAAATATCTTCAAATAAAAACCAGACAGAATCATTCTCAGAAAATTCTTTGTGATGTGTGCGTTCAACTCACATAGTTTAACCTTTCTTTTCATAGAGCAGTTTGGAAACACTCTGTTTGTAAAGTCTGCAAGTGGATATATGGACCGCATTGAGGCCTTCGTTGGAAACGGGATTTCTTCATTTCATGCTAGACAGAAGAATTCTCAGTAACTTCTTTGTGCTGTGTGTATTCAACTCACAGAGTGGAACGTCCCTTTGCACAGAGCAGATTTGAAACACTCTTTTTGTGGAGTTTGCAAGTGGAGATTTCAAGCGATTTGATGCCAACAGTAGAAAAGGAAATATCTTCAAATAAAAACTAGACAGAACCATTCTCAGAAACTACTTTGTGATGTGTGCCTTCAACTCACAGAGTTTAACCTTTCTTTTCTTAGAGCAGTTTAGAAACACTCTGCTTGTTATGTCTGCAAGTGGATATTTGGACCTCTTTGAGGCCTTCGTTGCAAACGGGGTTTCTTCCTTTCATGCTAGACTAAGAAGAATTCTCAGTAAATACTTTGTGTTGTGTGCATTCAACTCACACAGTGGAACGTCCCTTTAGACAGAGCAGATTTGAAACACTCTTTTTGCGGAAGTTGCAAGTGGAGATTTCTAGCCATTTGATGCCAACAGTAGAAAGGGAAATATCTTCAAATAAAAACTAGACAGAATCATTCTCAGAAAGTGCTTTGTGATGTGTGCGTTCAACTCACAGAGTTTAACCTTTCTTTTCATAGAGGAGTTTGGAAACACACTGTTTGTAAAGTCTGCAATTGGATATATGGACCTGTTTGAGGCCTTCGTTGGAAACGGGATTTCTTCATTGCATGCTAGACGGAAGAATTCTCAGTAAATTCTTTGTGTTGTGTGCATTCAACTCACAGAGTGGAACGTCCCTTTAGACAGAGCAGATTTGAAACACTCTTTTTGCGGAATTTGCAAGTGGAGATTTCTAGCCATTTGATGCCAACAGTAGAAAGGGAAATATCTTCAAATAAAAACCAGACAGAATCATTCTCAGAAAATTCTTTGTGATGTGTGCGTTCAACTCACATAGTTTAACCTTTCTTTTCATAGAGCAGTTTGGAAACACTCTGTTTGTAAAGTCTGCAAGTGGATATATGGACCGCATTGAGGCCTTCGTTGGAAACGGGATTTCTTCATTTCATGCTAGACAGAAGAATTCTCAGTAACTTCTCTGTGCTGTGTGTATTCAACTCACAGACTGGAACGTCCGTTTGCACAGAGCAGATTTGAAACACTCTTTTTGTGGAATTTGCAAGTGGAGATTTCAAGCGATTTGATGCCAACAGTAGAAAAGGAAATATCTTCAAATAAAAACTAGACAGAACCATTCTCAGAAACTACTTTGTGATGTGTGCCTTCAACTCACAGAGTTTAACCTTTCTTTTCTTAGAGCAGTTTAGAAACACTCTGCTTGTTATGTCTGCAACTGGATATTTGGACCTCTTTGAGGCCTTCGTTGCAAACGGGGTTTCTTCCTTTCATGCTAGACTAAGAAGAGTTCTCAGTAACTTTTTTGTGTTGTGTGTATTCAACTCACAGAGTTGAACCTTGCTTTAGAGAGAGCAGATTTGAAACACTCTTGCTGTGGCATTTTCAGGTGGAGATTTCAAGCGATTTGAGGACAATTGCAGAAAAGGAAATATCTTCGTATAACAACCAGACAGAATCATTCTCAGAAAGTGCTTTGTGATGTGTGCGTTCAATTCACAGAGTTTAACCTTTCTTTTCATAGAGGAGTTTGGAAACACACTGTTTGTAAAGTCTGCAATTGGATATATGGACCTGTTTGAGGCCTTCGTTGGAAACGGGATTTCTTCATTGAATGCTAGGCGGAAGAATTCTCAGTAAATTCTTTGTGTTGTGTGCATTCAACTCACAGAGTGGAACGTCCCTTTAGACAGAGCAGATTTGAAACACTCTTTTTGCGGAATTTGCAAGTGGAGATTTCTAGCCATTTGATGCCAACAGTAGAAAGGGAAATATCTTCAAATAAAAACCAGACAGAATCATTCTCAGAAAATTCTTTGTGATGTGTGCGTTCAACTCACATAGTTTAACCTTTCTTTTCATAGAGCAGTTTGGAAACACTCTGTTTGTGAAGTCTGCAAGTGGATATATAGACCGCATTGAGGCCTTCGTTGGAAACGGGATTTCTTCATTTCATGCTAGACAGAAGAATTCTCAGTAACTTCTTTGTGCTGTGTGTATTCAACTCACAGAGTGGAACGTCCCTTTGCACAGAGCAGATTTGAAACACTCTTTTTGTGGAGTTTGCAAGTGGATATTTCAAGCGATTTGATGCCAACAGTAGAAAAGGAAATATCTTCAAATAAAAACTAGACAGAATCATTCTCAGAAACTACTTTGTGATGTGTGCCTTCAACTCACAGAGTTTAACCTTTCTTTTCTTAGAGCAGTTTAGAAACACTCTGCTTGTTATGTCTGCAAGTGGATATTTGGACCTCTTTGAGGCCTTCGTTGCAAACGGGGTTTCTTCCTTTCATGCTAGACTAAGAAGAGTTCTCAGTAACTTTTTTGTGTTGTGTGTATTCAACTCACAGAGTTGAACCTTGCTTTAGAGAGAGCAGATTTGAAACACTCTTGCTGTGGCATTTTCAGGTGGAGATTTCAAGCGATTTGAGGACAATTGCAGAAAAGGAAATATCTTCGTATAATAACCAGACAGAATCATTCTCAGAAAGTGCTTTGTGATGTGTGCGTTCCACTCACAGAGTTTAACCTTTCTTTTCATAGAGGAGTTTGGAAACACACTGTTTGTAAAGTCTGCAAGTGGATATATGGACCTCTTAGAGGCCTTCGTTGGAAACGGGATTTCTTCATTGAATGCTAGACGGAAGAATTCTCAGTAAATTCTTTGTGTTGTGTGCATTCAACTCACAGAGTGGAACGTCCCTTTAGACAGAGCAGATTTGAAACACTCTTTTTGCGGAATTTGCAAGTGGAGATTTCTAGCCATTTGATGCCAACAGTAGAAAGGGAAATATCTTCAAATAAAAACCAGACAGAATCATTCTCAGAAAATTCTTTGTGATGTGTGCGTTCAACTCACATAGTTTAACCTTTCTTTTCATAGAGCAGTTTGGAAACACTCTGTTTGTAAAGTCTGCAAGTGGATATATGGACCGCATTGAGGCCTTCGTTGGAAACGGGATTTCTTCATTTCATGCTAGACAGAAGAATTCTCAGTAACTTCTTTGTGCTGTGTGTATTCAACTCACAGAGTGGAACGTCCCTTTGCACAGAGCAGATTTGAAACACTCTTTTTGTGGAATTTGCAAGTGGAGATTTCAAGCGATTTGATGCCAACAGTAGAAAAGGAAATATCTTCAAATAAAAACTAGACAGAATCATTCTCAGAAACTACTTTGTGATGTGTGCCTTCAACTCACAGAGTTTAACCTTTCTTTTCTTAGAGCAGTTTAGAAACACTCTGCTTGTTATGTCTGCAAGTGGATATTTGGACCTACTTTGAGGCCTTCGTTGCAAACGGGGTTTCTTCCTTTCATGCTAGACTAAGAAGAGTTCTCAGTAACTTTTTTGTGTTGCGTGTATTCAACTCACAGAGTTGAACCTTGCTTTAGAGAGAGCAGATTTGAAACACTCTTGCTGTGGCATTTTCAGGTGGAGATTTCAAGCGATTTGAGGACAATTGCAGAAAAGGAAATATCTTCGTATAATAACCAGACAGAATCATTCTCAGAAAGTGCTTTGTGATGTGTGCGTTCCACTCACAGAGTTTAACCTTTCTTTTCATAGAGGAGTTTGGAAACACACTGTTTGTAAAGTCTGCAAGTGGATATATGGACCTGTTTGAGGCCTTCGTTGGAAACGGGATTTCTTCATTGAATGCTAGACGGAAGAATTCTCAGTAAATTCTTTGTGTTGTGTGCATTCAACTCACAGAGTGGAACGTCCCTTTAGACAGAGCAGATTTGAAACACTCTTTTTGCGGAATTTGCAATTGGAGATTTCTAGCCATTTGATGCCAACAGTAGAAAGGGAAATATCTTCAAATAAAAACCAGGCAGAATCATTCTCAGAAAATTCATTGTGATGTGTGCGTTCAACTCACATAGTTTAACCTTTCTTTTCATAGAGCAGTTTGGAAACACTCTGTTTGTAAAGTCTGCAAGTGGATATATGGACCGCATTGAGGCCTTCGTTGGAAACGGGATTTCTTCATTTCATGCTAGACAGAAGAACTCTCAGCAACTTCTTTGTGCTGTGTGTATTCAACTCACAGAGTGGAACGTCCCTTTACACAGAGCAGATTTGAAACACTCTTTTTGTGGGGTTTGCAAGTGAAGATTTCAAGCGATTTGATGCCAACAGTAGAAAAGGAAATATCTTCAAATAAAAACTAGACAGAATCATTCTAAGAAACTACTTTGTGATGTGTGCCTTCAACTCACAGAGTTTAACCTTTCTTTTCTTAGAGCAGTTTAGAAACACTCTGTTTGTTATGTCTGCAAGTGGATATTTGGACCTCTTTGAGGCCTTCGTTGCAAACGGGGTTTCTTCCTTTCATGCTAGACTAAGAAGAGTTCTCAGTAACTTTTTTGTGCTGTGTTTATTCAACTCACAGAGTTGAACCTTGCTTTAGAGAGAGCAGATTTGAAACACTCTTGCTGTGGCATTTTCAGGTGGAGATTTCAAGCGATTTGAGGACAATTGCAGAAAAGGAAATATCTTCGTATAATAACCAGACAGAATCATTCTCAGCAAAGTGCTTTGTGATGTGTGCGTTCCACTCACAGAGTTTAACCTTTCTTTTCATAGAGGAGTTTGGAAACACACTGTTTGTAAAGTCTGCAAGTGGATATATGGACCTGTTTGAGGCCTTCGTTGGAAACGGGATTTCTTCATTGAATGCTAGACGGAAGAATTCTCAGTAAATTCTTTGTGTTGTGTGCATTCAACTCACAGAGTGGAACGTCCCTTTAGACAGAGCAGATTTGAAACACTCTTTTTGCGGAATTTGCAAGTGGAGATTTCTAGCCATTTGATGCCAACAGTAGAAAGGGAAATATCTTCAAATAAAAACCAGACAGAAACATTCTCAGAAAATTCTTTGTGATGTGTGCGTTCAACTCACATAGTTTAACCTTTCTTTTCATAGAGTAGTTTGGAAACACTCTGTTTGTAAAGTCTGCAAGTGGATATATGGACCGCATTGAGGCCTTCGTTGGAAACGGGATTTCTTCATTTCATGCTAGACAGAAGAATTCTCAGTAACTTCTTTGTGCTGTGTGTATTCAACTGACAGAGTGGAACGTCCCTTTGCACAGAGCAGATTTGAAACACTCTTTTTGTGGAGTTTGCAAGTGGAGATTTCAAGCGATTTGATGCCAACAGTAGAAAAGGAAATATCTTCAAATAAAAACTAGACAGAATCATTCTCAGAAACTACTTTGTGATGTGTGCCTTCAACTCACAGAGTTTAACCTTTCTTTTCTTAGAGCAGTTTAGAAACACTCTGCTTGTTATGTCTGCAAGTGGATATTTGGACCTCTTTGAGGCCTTCGTTGCAAACGGGGTTTCTTCCTTTAATGCTAGACTAAGAAGAGTTCTCAGTAACTTTTTTGTGTTGTGTGTATTCAACTCACAGAGTTGAACCTTGCTTTAGAGAGAGCAGATTTCAAACACTCTTGCTGTGGCATTTTCAGGTGGAGATTTCAAGCGATTTGAGGACAATTGCAGAAAAGGAAATATCTTCGTATAATAACCAGACAGAATCATTCTCAGAAAGTGCTTTGTGTTGTGTGCGTTCAACTCACAGAGTTTAACCTTTCTTTTCATAGAGGAGTTTGGAAACACACTGTTTGTAAAGTCTGCAATTGGATATATGGACCTGTTTGAGGCCTTCGTTGGAAACGGGATTTCTTCATTGAATGCTAGACGGAAGAATTCTCAGTAAATTCTTTGTGTTGTGTGCATTCAACTCACAGAGTGGAACGTCCCTTTAGACAGAGCAGATTTGAAACACTCTTTTTGCGGAATTTGCAAGTGGAGATTTCTAGCCATTTGATGCCAACAGTAGAAAGGGAAATATCTTCAAATAAAAACCAGACAGAATCATTCTCAGAAAATTCTTTGTGATGTGTGCGTTCAACTCACATAGTTTAACCTTTCTTTTCATAGAGCAGTTTGGAAACACTCTGTTTGTAAAGTCTGCAAGTGGATATATGGACCGCATTGAGGCCTTCGTTGGAAACGGGATTTCTTCATTTCATGCTAGACAGAAGAATTCTCAGTAACTTCTTTGTGCTGTGTGTATTCAACTCACAGAGTGGAACGTCCCTTTGCACAGAGCAGATTTGAAACACTCTTTTTGTGGAGTTTGCAAGTGGAGATTTCAAGCGATTTGATGCCAACAGTAGAAAAGGAAATATCTTCAAATAAAAACTAGACAGAATCATTCTCAGAAACTGCTTTGTGATGTGTGCCTTCAACTCACAGAGTTTAACCTTTCTTTTCTTAGAGCAGTTTAGAAACACTCTGCTTGTTATGTCTGCAAGTGGATATTTGGACCTCTTTGAGGCCTTCGTTGCAAACGGGGTTTCTTCCTTTCATGCTAGACTAAGAAGAGTTCTCAGTAACTTTTTTGTGTTGTGTGTATTCAACTCACAGAGTTGAACCTTGCTTTAGAGAGAGCAGATTTGAAACACTCTTGCTGTGGCATTTTCAGGTGGAGATTTCAAGCGATTTGAGGACAATTGCAGAAAAGGAAATATCTTCGTATAATAACCAGACAGAATCATTCTCAGAAAGTGCTTTGTGATGTGTGCGTTCCACTCACAGAGTTTAACCTTTCTTTTCATAGAGGAGTTTGGAAACACACTGTTTGTAAAGTCTGCAAGTGGATATATGGACCTGTTTGAGGCCTTCGTTGGAAACGGGATTTCTTTATTGAATGCTAGACGGAAGAATTCTCAGTAAATTCTTTGTGTTGTGTGCATTCAACTCACAGAGTGGAACGTCCCTTTAGACAGAGCAGATTTGAAACACTCTTTTTGCGGAATTTGCAAGTGGAGATTTCTAGCCATTTGATGCCAACAGTAGAAAGGGAAATATCTTCAAATAAAAACCAGACAGAATCATTCTCAGAAAATTCTTTGTGATGTGTGCGTTCAACTCACATAGTTTAACCTTTCTTTTCATAGAGCAGTTTGGAAACACTCTGTTTGTAAAGTCTGCAAGTGGATATATGGACCGCATTGAGGCCTTCGTTGGAAACGGGATTTCTTCATTTCATGCTAGACAGAAGAATTCTCAGTAACTTCTTTGTGCTGTGTGTATTCAACTCACAGAGTGGAACGTCCCTTTGCACAGAGCAGATTTGAAACACTCTTTTTGTGGAGTTTGCAAGTGGAGATTTCAAGCGATTTGATGCCAACAGTAGAAAAGGAAATATCTTCAAATAAAAACTAGACAGAATCATTCTCAGAAACTACTTTGTGATGTCTGCCTTCAACTCACAGAGTTTAACCTTTCTTTTCTTAGAGCAGTTGAGAAACACTCTGCTTGTTATGTCTGCAAGTGGATATTTGGACCTCTTTGAGGCCTTCGTTGCAAACGGGGTTTCTTCCTTTCATGCTAGACTAAGAAGAGTTCTCAGTAACTTTTTTGTGTTGTGTGTATTCAACTCACAGAGTTGAACCTTGCTTTAGAGAGAGCAGATTTGAAACACTCTTGCTGTGGCATTTTCAGGTGGAGATTTCAAGCGATTTGAGGACAATTGCAGAAAAGGAAATATCTTCGTATAATAACCAGACAGAATCATTCTCAGAAAGTGCTTTGTGATGTGTGCGTTCAACTCACAGAGTTTAACCTTTCTTTTCATAGAGGAGTTTGGAAACACACTGTTTGTAATGTCTGCAATTGGATATATGGACCTGTTTGAGGCCTTCGTTGGAAACGGGATTTCTTCATTGAATGCTAGACGGAAGAATTCTCAGTAAATTCTTTGTGTTGTGTGCATTCAACTCACAGAGTGGAACGTCCCTTTAGACAGAGAAGATTTGAAACACTTTTTGGCGGAATTTGCAAGTGGAGATTTCTAGCCATTTGATGCCAACAGTAGAAAGGGAAATATCTTCAAATAAAAACCAGACAGAATCATTCTCAGAAAATTCTTTGTGATGTGTGCGTTCAACTCACATAGTTTAACCTTTCTTTTCATAGAGCAGTTTGGAAACACTCTGTTTGTAAAGTCTGCAAGTGGATATATGGACCGCATTGAGGCCTTCGTTGGAAACGGGATTTCTTCATTTCATGCTAGCCAAAGTAATTCTCAGTAACTTCTTTGTGCTGTGTGTATTCAACTCACAGAGTGGAACGTCCCTTTACACAGAGCAGATTTGAAACACTCTTTTTGTGGAGTTTGCAAGTGGAGATTTCAAGCGATTTGATGCCAACAGTAGAAAAGGAAATATCTTCAAATAAAAACTAGACAGAATCATTCTCAGAAACTACTTTGTGATGTGTGCCTTCAACTCACAGAGTTTAACCTTTCTTTTCTTAGAGCAGTTTAGAAACACTCTGCTTGTTATGTCTGCAAGTGGATATTTGGACCTCTTTGAGGCCTTCGTTGCAAACGGGGTTTCTTCCTTTCATGCTAGACTAAGAAGAGTTCTCAGTAACTTTTTTGTGTTGTGTGTATTCAACTCACAGAGTTGAACCTTGCTTTAGAGAGAGCAGATTTGAAACACTCTTGCTGTGGCATTTTCAGGTGGAGATTTCAAGCGATTTGAGGACAATTGCAGAAAAGGAAATATCTTCGTATAATAACCAGACAGAATCATTCTCAGAAAGTGCTTTGTGATGTGTGCGTTCAACTCACAGAGTTTAACCTTTCTTTTCATAGAGGAGTTTGGAAACACACTGTTTGTAAAGTCTGCAATTGGATATATGGACCTGTTTGAGGCCTTCGTTGGAAACGGGATTTCTTCATTGAATGCTAGACGGAAGAATTCTCAGTAAATTCTTTGTGTTGTGTGCATTCAACTCACAGAGTGGAACGTCCCTTTAGACAGAGCAGATTTGAAACACTCTTTTTGCGGAATTTGCAAGTGGAGATTTCTAGCCATTTGATGCCAACAGTAGAAAGGGAAATATCTTCAAATAAAAACCAGACAGAATCATTCTCAGAAAATTCTTTGTGATGTGTGCGTTCAACTCACATAGTTTAACCTTTCTTTTCATAGAGCAGTTTGGAAACACTCTGTTTGTAAAGTCTGCAAGTGGATATATGGACCGCATTGAGGCCTTCGTTGGAAACGGGATTTCTTCATTTCATGCTAGACAGAAGAAATCTCAGTAACTTCTTTGTGCTGTGTGTATTCAACTCACAGAGTGGAACGTCCCTTTGCACAGAGCAGGATTTGAAACACTCTTTTTGTGGAATTTGCAAGTGGAGATTTCAAGCGATTTGATGCCAACAGTAGAAAAGGAAATATCTTCAAATAAAAACTAGACAGAATCATTCTCAGAAACTACTTTGTGATGTGTGCCTTCAACTCACAGAGTTTAACCTTTCTTTTCTTAGAGCACTTTAGAAACACTCTGCTTGTTATGTCTGCAAGTGGATATTTGGACCTCTTTGAGGCCTTCGTTGCAAACGGGGTTTCTTCCTTTAATGCTAGACAAAGAAGAGTTCTCAGTAACTTTTTTGTGTTGTGTGTATTCAACTCACAGAGTTGAACCTTGCTTTAGAGAGAGCAGATTTGAAACACTCTTGCTGTGGCATTTTCAGGTGGAGATTTCAAGCGATTTGAGGACAATTGCAGAAAAGGAAATATCTTCGTATAATAACCAGACAGAATCATTCTCAGAAAGTGCTTTGTGATGTGTGCGTTCAACTCACAGAGTTTAAGCTTTCTTTTCATAGAGGAGTTTGGAAACACACTGTTTGTAAAGTCTGCAATTGGATATATGGACCTGTTTGAGGCCTTCGTTGGAAACGGGATTTCTTCATTGAATGCTAGACGGAAGAATTCTCAGTAAATTCTTTGTGTTGTGTGCATTCAACTCACAGAGTGGAACGTCCCTTTAGACAGAGCAGAATTGAAACACTCTTTTTGCGGAATTTGCAAGTGGAGATTTCTAGCCATTTGATGCCAACAGTAGAAAGGGAAATATCTTCAAATAAAAACCAGACAGAATCATTCTCAGAAAATTCTTTGTGATGTGTGCGTTCAACTCACATAGTTTAACCTTTCTTTTCATAGAGCAGTTTGGAAACACTCTGTTTGTAAAGTCTGCAAGTGGATATATGGACCGCATTGAGGCCTTCGTTGGAAACGGGATTTCTTCATTTCATGCTAGACAGAAGAATTCTCAGTAACTTCTTTGTGCTGTGTGTATTCAACTCACAGAGTGGAACGTCCCTTTGCACAGAGCGGATTTGAAACACTCTTTTTGTGGAGTTTGCAAGTGGAGATTTCAAGCGATTTGATGCCAACAGTAGAAAAGGAAATATCTTCAAATAAAAACTAGACAGAATCATTCTCAAAAACTACTTTGTGATGTGTGCCTTCAACTCACAGAGTTTAACCTTTCTTTTCTTAGAGCAGTTTAGAAACACTCTGCTTGTTATGTCTGCAAGTGGATATTTGGACCTCTTTGAGGCCTTCGTTGCAAACGGGGTTTCTTCCTTTCATGCTAGACTAAGAAGAGTTCTCAGTAACTTTTTTGTGTTGTGTGTATTCAACTCACAGAGTTGAACCTTGCTTTAGAGAGAGCAGATTTGAAACACTCTTGATGTGGCATTTTCAGGTGGAGATTTCAAGCGATTTGAGGACAATTGCAGAAAAGGAAATATCTTCGTATAATAACCAGACAGAATCATTCTCAGAAAGTGCTTTGTGATGTGTGCGTTCAACTCACAGAGTTTAACCTTTCTTTTCATAGAGGAGTTTGGAAACACACTGTTTGTAAAGTCTGCAATTGGATATATGGACCTGTTTGAGGCCTTCTTTGGAAACGGGATTTCTTCATTGAATGCTAGACGGAAGAATTCTCAGTAAATTCTTTGTGTTGTGTGCATTCAACTCACAGAGTGGAACGTCCCTTTAGACAGAGCAGATTTGAAACACTCTTTTTGCGGAATTTGCAAGTGGAGATTTCTAGCCATTTGATGCCAACAGTAGAAAGGGAAATATCTTCAAATAAAAACCAGACAGAATCATTCTCAGAAAATTCTTTGTGATGTGTGCGTTCAACTCACATAGTTTTACCTTTCTTTTCATAGAGCAGTTTGGAAACACTCTGTTTGTAAAGTCTGCAAGTGGATATATGGACCGCATTGAGGCCTTCGTTGGAAACGGGATTTCTTCATTTCATGCTAGACAGAAGAATTCTCAGTAACTTCTTTGTGCTGTGTGTATTCAACTCACAGAGTGGAACGTTCCTTTACACAGAGCAGATTTGAAACACTCTTTTTGTGGAGTTTGCAAGTGGAGATTTCAAGCGATTTGATGCCAACAGTAGAAAAGGAAATATCTTCAAATAAAAACTAGACAGAATCATTCTCAGAAACTACTTTGTGATGTGTGCCTTCAACTCACAGAGTTTAACCTTTCTTTTCTTAGAGCAGTTTAGAAACACTCTGCTTGTTATGTCTGCAAGTGGATATTTGGACCTCTTTGAGGCCTTCGTTGCAAACAGGGGTTTCTTCCTTTAATGCTAGACTAAGAAGAGTTCTCAGTAACTTTTTTGTGTTGTGTGTATTCAACTCACAGAGTTGAACCTTGCTTTAGAGAGAGCAGATTTGAAACACTCTCGCTGTGGAATTTTCAGGTGGAGATTTCAAGCGATTTGAGGACAATTGCAGAAAAGGAAATATCTTCGTATAATAACCAGACAGAATCATTCTCAGAAAGTGCTTTGTGATGTGTGCGTTCAACTCACAGAGTTTAACCTTTCTTTTCATAGAGGAGTTTGGAAACACACTGTTTGTAAAGTCTGCAATTGGATATATGGACCTGTTTGAGGCCTTCGTTGGAAACGGGATTTCTTCATTGCATGCTAGACGGAAGAATTCTCAGTAAATTCTTTGTGTTGTGTGCATTCAACTCACAGAGTGGAACGTCCCTTTAGACAGAGCAGATTTGAAACACTCTTTTTGCGGAATTTGCAAGTGGAGATTTCTAGCCATTTGATGCCAACAGTAGAAAGGGAAATATCTTCAAATAAAAACCAGACAGAATCATTCTCAGAAAATTCTTTGTGATGTGTGCGTTCAACTCACATAGTTTAACCTTTCTTTTCATAGAGCAGTTTGGAAACACTCTGTTTGTAAAGTCTGCAAGTGGATATATGGACCGCATTGAGGCCTTCGTTGGAAACGGGATTTCTTCATTTCATGCTAGACAGAAGAATTCTCAGTAACTTCTCTGTGCTGTGTGTATTCAACTCACAGACTGGAACGTCCGTTTGCACAGAGCAGATTTGAAACACTCTTTTTGTGGAGTTTGCAAGTGGAGATTTCAAGCGATTTGATGCCAACAGTAGAAAAGGAAATATCTTCAAATAAAAACTAGACAGAACCATTCTCAGAAACTACTTTGTGATGTGTGCCTTCAACTCACAGAGTTTAACCTTTCTTTTCTTAGAGCAGTTTAGAAACACTCTGCTTGTTATGTCTGCAAGTGGATATTTGGACCTCTTTGAGGCCTTCGTTGCAAACGGGGTTTCTTCCTTTCATGCTAGACTAAGAAGAGTTCTCAGTAACTTTTTTGTGCTGTGTGTATTCAACTCACAGAGTTGAACCTTGCTTTAGAGAGAGCAGATTTGAAACACTCTTGCTGTGGCATTTTCAGGTGGAGATTTCAAGCGATTTGAGGACAATTGCAGAAAAGGAAATATCTTCGTATAACAACCAGACAGAATCATTCTCAGAAAGTGCTTTGTGATGTGTGCGTTCCACTCACAGAGTTTAACCTTTCTTTTCATAGAGGAGTTTGGAAACACACTGTTTGTAAAGTCTGCAAGTGGATATATGGACCTGTTTGAGGCCTTCGTTGGAAACGGGATTTCTTCATTGAATGCTAGACGGAAGAATTCTCAGTAAATTCTTTGTGTTGTGTGCATTCAACTCACAGAGTGGAACGTCCCTTTAGACAGAGCAGATTTGAAACACTCTTTTTGCGGAATTTGCAAGTGGAGATTTCTAGCCATTTGATGCCAACAGTAGAAAGGGAAATATCTTCAAATAAAAACCAGACAGAATCATTCTCAGAAAATTCTTTGTGATGTGTGCGTTCAACTCACATAGTTTAACCTTTCTTTTCATAGAGCAGTTTGGAAACACTCTGTTTGTAAAGTCTGCAAGTGGATATATGGACCGCATTGAGGCCTTCGTTGGAAACGGGATTTCTTCATTTCATGCTAGACAGAAGAATTCTCAGTAACTTCTTTGTGCTGTGTGTATTCAACTCACAGAGTTGAACCTTGCTTTAGAGAGAGCAGATTTGAAACACTCTTGCTGTGGCATTTTCAAGTGGAGATTTCAAGCGATTTGAGGAAAATTGCAGAAAAGGGAATATCTTCGTATAATAACCAGACAGAATCATTCTCAGAAAGTGCTTTGTGATGTGTGCGTTCCACTCACAGAGTTTAACCTTTCTTTTCATAGAGGAGTTTGGAAACACACTGTTTGTAAACTCTGCAAGTGGATATATGGACCTGTTTGAGGCCTTCGTTGGAAACGGGATTTCTTCATTGAATGCTAGACGGAAGAATTCTCAGTAAATTCTTTGTGTTGTGTGCATTCAACTCACAGAGTGGAACGTCCCTTTAGACAGAGCAGATTTGAAACACTCTTTTTGCGGAATTTGCAAGTGGAGATTTCTAGCCATTTGATGCCAACAGTAGAAAGGGAAATATCTTCAAATAAAAACCAGACAGAATCATTCTCAGAAAATTCTTTGTGATGTGTGCGTTCAACTCACATAGTTTAACCTTTCTTTTCATAGAGCAGTTTGGAAACACTCTGTTTGTAAAGTCTGCAAGTGGATATATGGACCGCATTGAGGCCTTCGTTGGAAACGGGATTTCTTCATTTCATGCTAGACAGAAGAATTCTCAGTAACTTCTTTGTGCTGTGTGTATTCAACTCACAGAGTGGAACGTCCCTTTGCACAGAGCAGATTTGAAACACTCTTTTTGTGGAATTTGCAAGTGGAGATTTCAAGCGATTTGATGCCAACAGTAGAAAAGGAAATATCTTCAAATAAAAACTAGACAGAATCATTCTCAGAAACTACTTTGTGATGTGTGCCTTCAACTCACAGAGTTTAACCTTTCTTTTCTTAGAGCAGTTTAGAAACACTCTGCTTGTTATGTCTGCAAGTGGATATTTGGACCTCTTTGAGGCCTTCGTTGCAAACGCGGTTTCTTCCTTTAATGCTAGACTAAGAAGAGTTCTCAGTAACTTTTTTGTGTTGTGTGTATTCAACTCACAGAGTTGAACCTTGCTTTAGAGAAAGCAGATTTGAAACACTCTTGCTGTGGCATTTTCAGGTGGAGATTTCAAGCGATTTGAGGACAATTGCAGAAAAGGAAATATCTTCGTATAACAACCAGACAGAATCATTCTCAGAAAGTGCTTTGTGATGTGTGCGTTCCACTCACAGAGTTTAACCTTTCTTTTCATAGAGGAGTTTGGAAACAAACTGTTTGTAAACTCTGCAAGTGGATATATGGACCTGTTTGAGGCCTTCGTTGGAAACGGGATTTCTTCATTGAATGCTAGACGGAAGAATTCTCAGTAAATTCTTTGTGTTGTGTGCATTCAACTCACAGAGTGGAACGTCCCTTTAGACAGAGCAGATTTGAAACACTCTTTTTGCGGAATTTGCAAGTGGAGATTTCTAGCCATTTGATGCCAACAGTAGAAAGGGAAATATCTTCAAATAAAAACCAGACAGAATCATTCTCAGAAAATTCTTTGTGATGTGTGCGTTCAACTCACATAGTTTAACCTTTCTTTTCATAGAGCAGTTTGGAAACACTCTGTTTGTAAAGTCTGCAAGTGGATATATGGACCGCATTGAGGCCTTCGTTGGAAACGGGATTTCTTCATTTCATGCTAGACAGAAGAATTCTCAGTAACTTCTTTGTGCTGTGTGTATTCAACTCACAGAGTGGAACGTCCCTTTGCACAGAGCAGATTTGAAACACTCTTTTTGTGGAGTTTGCAAGTGGAGATTTCAAGCGATTTGATGCCAACAGTAGAAAAGGAAATATCTTCAAATAAAAACTAGACAGAATCATTCTCAGAAACTACTTTGTGATGTGTGCCTTCAACTCACAGAGTTTAACCTTTCTTTTCTTAGAGCAGTTTAGAAACACTCTGCTTGTTATGTCTGCAAGTGGATATTTGGACCTCTTTGAGGCCTTCGTTGCAAACGGGGTTTCTTCCTTTCATGCTAGACTAAGAAGAGTTCTCAGTAACTTTTTTGTGTTGTGTGTATTCAACTCACAGAGTTGAACCTTGCTTTAGAGAGAGCAGATTTGAAACACTCTTGCTGTGGCATTTTCAGGTGGAGATTTCAAGCGATTTGAGGACAATTGCAGAAAAGGAAATATCTTCGTATAATAACCAGACAGAATCATTCTCAGAAAGTGCTTTGTGTTGTGTGCGTTCAACTCACAGAGTTTAACCTTTCTTTTCATAGAGGAGTTTGGAAACACACTGTTTGTAAAGTCTGCAATTGGATATATGGACCTGTTTGAGGCCTTCGTTGGAAACGGGATTTCTTCATTGAATGCTAGACGGAAGAATTCTCAGTAAATTCTTTGTGTTGTGTGCATTCAACTCACAGAGTGGAACGTCCCTTTAGACAGAGCAGATTTGAAACACTCTTTTTGCGGAATTTGCAAGTGGAGATTTCTAGCCATTTGATGCCAACAGTAGAAAGGGAAATATCTTCAAATAAAAACCAGACAGAATCATTCTCAGAAAATTCTTTGTGATGTGTGCGTTCAACTCACATAGTTTAACCTTTCTTTTCATAGAGCAGTTTGGAAACACTCTGTTTGTAAAGTCTGCAAGTGGATATATGGACCGCATTGAGGCCTTCGTTGGAAACGGGATTTCTTCATTTCATGCTAGACAGAAGAATTCTCAGTAACTTCTCTGTGCTGTGTGTATTCAACTCACACACTGGAACGTCCGTTTGCACAGAGCAGATTTGAAACACTCTTTTTGTGGAATTTGCAAGTGGAGATTTCAAGCGATTTGATGCCAACAGTAGAAAAGGAAATATCTTCAAATAAAAACTAGACAGAATCATTCTCAGAAACTACTTTGTGATGTGTGCCTTCAACTCACAGAGTTTAACCTTTCTTTTCTCAGAGCAGTTTAGAAACACTCTGCTTGTTATGTCTGCAAGTGGATATTTGGACCTCTTTGAGGCCTTCGGTTGCAAACGGGGTTTCTTCCTTTCATGCTAGACTAAGAAGAGTTCTCAGTAACTTTTTGGTGTTGTGTGTATTCAACTCACAGAGTTGAACCTTGCTTTAGAGAGAGCAGATTTGAAACACTCTTGCTGTGGCATTTTCAGGTGGAGATTTCAAGCGATTTGAGGACAATTGCAGAAAAGGAAATATCTTCGTATAATAACCAGACAGAATCATTCTCAGAAAGTGCTTTGTGATGTGTGCGTTCAACTCACAGTAGTTTAACCTTTCTTTTCATAGAGGAGTTTGGAAACACACTGTTTGTAAAGTCTGCAATTGGATATATGGACCTGTTTGAGGCCTTCGTTGGAAACGGGATTTCTTCATTGAATGCTAGACGGAAGAATTCTCAGTAAATTCTTTGTGTGGTGTGCATTCAACTCACAGAGTGGAACGTCCCTTTAGACAGAGCAGATTTGAAACACTCTTTTTGCGGAATTTGCAAGTGGAGATTTCTAGCCATTTGATGCCAACAGTAGAAAGGGAAATATCTTCAAATAAAAACCAGACAGAATCATTCTCAGAAAATTCTTTGTGATGTGTGCGTTCAACTCACATAGTTTAACCTTTCTTTTCATAGAGCAGTTTGGAAACACTCTGTTTGTAAAGTCTGCAAGTGGATATATGGACCGCATTGAGGCCTTCGTTGGAAAAGGGATTTCTTCATTTCATGCTAGACAGAAGAATTCTCAGTAACTTCTTTGTGCTGTGTGTATTCAACTCACAGAGTGGAACGTCCCTTTGCACAGAGCAGATTTGAAACACTCTTTTTGTGGAGTTTGCAAGTGGAGATTTCAAGCGATTTGATGCCAACAGTAGAAAAGGAAATATCTTCAAATAAAAACTAGACAGAATCATTCTCAGAAACTACTTTGTGATGTGTGCCTTCAACTCACAGAGTTTAACCTTTCTTTTCATAGAGCAGTTTAGAAACACTCTGCTTGTTATGTCTGCAAGTGGATATTTGGACCTCTTTGAGGCCTTCGTTGCAAACGGGGTTTCTTCATTTCATGCTAGACTAAGAAGAGTTCTCAGTAACTTTTTTGTGTTGTGTGTATTCAACTCACAGAGTTGAACCTTGCTTTAGAGAGAGCAGATTTGAAACACTCTTGCTGTGGCATTTTCAGGTGGAGATTTCAAGCGATTTGAGGACAATTGCAGAAAAGGAAATATCTTCGTATAACAACCAGACAGAATCATTCTCAGAAAGTTCTTTGTGATGTGTGCGTTCAACTCACAGAGTTTAACCTTTCTTTTCATAGAGGAGTTTGGAAACACACTGTTTGTAAAGTCTGCAATTGGATATATGGACCTGTTTGAGGCCTTCGTTGGAAACGGGATTTCTTCATTGAATGCTAGACGGAAGAATTCTCAGTAAATTCTTTGTGTTGTGTGCATTCAACTCACAGAGTGGAACGTCCCTTTAGACAGAGCAGATTTGAAACACTCTTTTTGCGGAATTTGCAAGTGGAGATTTCTAGCCATTTGATGCCAACAGTAGAAAGGGAAATATCTTCAAATAAAAACCAGACAGAATCATTCTCAGAAAATTCTTTGTGATGTGTGCGTTCAACTCACATAGTTTAACCTTTCTTTTCATAGAGCAGTTTGGAAACACTCTGTTTGTAAAGTCTGCAAGTGGATATATGGACCGCATTGAGGCCTTCGTTGGAAACGGGATTTCTTCATTTCATGCTAGACAGAAGAATACTCAGTAACTTCTTTGTGCTGTGTGTATTCAACTCACAGAGTGGAACGTCCCTTTACACAGAGCAGATTTGAAACACTCTTTTTGTGGAGTTTGCAAGTGGAGATTTCAAGCGATTTGATGCCAACAGTAGAAAAGGAAATATCTTCAAATAAAAACTAGACAGAATCATTCTCAGAAACTACTTTGTGATGTGTGCCTTCAACTCAGAGAGTTTAACCTTTCTTTTCTTAGAGCAGTTTAGAAACACTCTGCTTGTTATGTCTGCAAGTGGATATTTGGACCTCTTTGAGGCCTTCGTTGCAAACGGGGTTTCTTCCTTTAATGCTAGACTAAGAAGAGTTCTCAGTAACTTTTTTGTGTTGTGTGCATTCAACTCACAGAGTGGAACGTCCCTTTAGACAGAGCAGATTTGAAACACTCTTTTTGCGGAAGTTGCAGGTGGAGATTTCTAGCCATTTGTTGCCAACAGTACAAAGGGAAATATCTTCAAATAAAAACTAGACAGAATCATTCTCAGAAAGTGCTTTGTGATGTGTGCGTTCAACTCACAGAGTTTAACCTTTCTTTTCATAGAGGAGTTTGGAAACACACTGTTTGTAAAGTCTGCAATTGGATATATGGACCTGTTTGAGGCCTTCGTTGGAAACGGGATTTCTTCATTGAATGCTAGACGGAAGAATTCTCAGTAAATTCTTTGTGTTGTGTGCATTCAACTGACAGAGTGGAACGTCCCTTTAGACAGAGCAGATTTGAAACACTCTTTTTGCGGAATTTGCAAGTGGAGATTTCTAGCCATTTCATGCCAACAGTAGAAAGGGAAATATCTTCAAATAAAAACCAGACAGAATCATTCTCAGAAAATTCTTTGTGATGTGTGCGTTCAACTCACATAGTTTAACCTTTCTTTTCATAGAGCAGTTTGGAAACACTCTGTTTGTAAAGTCTGCAAGTGGATATATGGACCGCATTGAGGCCTTCGTTGGAAACGGGATTTCTTCATTTCATGCTAGACAGAAGAATTCTCAGTAACTTCTTTGTGCTGTGTGTATTCAACTCACAGAGTGGAACGTCCCTTTAGACAGAGCAGATTTGAAACACTCTTTTTGCGGAATTTGCAAGTGGAGATTTCTAGCCATTTGATGCCAACAGTAGAAAGGGAAATATCTTCAAATAAAAACCAGACAGAATCATTCTCAGAAAATTCTTTGTGATGTGTGCGTTCAACTCACATAGTTTAACCTTTCTTTTCATAGAGCAGTTTGGAAACACTCTGTTTGTAAAGTCTGCAAGTGGATATATGGACCGCATTGAGGCCTTCGTTGGAAACGGGATTTCTTCATTTCATGCTAGACAGAAGAATTCTCAGTAACTTCTTTGTGCTGTGTGTATTCAACTCACAGAGTTGAACCTTGCTTTAGAGAGAGCAGATTTGAAACACTCTTGCTGTGGCATTTTCAGGTGGAGATTTCAAGCGATTTGAGGAAAATTGCAGAAAAGGAAATATCTTCGTATAACAACCAGACAGAATCATTCTCAGAAAGTGCTTTGTGATGTGTGGGTTCAACTCACAGAGTTTAACCTTTCTTTTCATAGAGGAGTTTGGAAACACACTGTTTGTAAAGTCTGCAATTGGATATATGGACCTGTTTGAGGCCTTCGTTGGAAACGGGATTTCTTCATTGACTGCTAGACAGAAGAATTCTCAGTAAATTCTTTGTGTTGTGTGCATTCAACTCACAGAGTGGAACGTCCCTTTAGACAGAGCAGATTTGAAACACTCTTTTTGCGGAATTTGCAAGTGGAGATTTCTAGCCATTTGATGCCAACAGTAGAAAGGGAAATATCTTCAAATAAAAACCAGACAGAATCATTCTCAGAAAATTCTTTGTGATGTGTGCGTTCAACTCACATAGTTTAACCTTTCTTTTCATAGAGCAGTTTGGAAACACTCTGTTTGTAAAGTCTGCAAGTGGATATATGGACCGCATTGAGGCCTTCGTTGGAAACGGGATTTCTTCATTTCATGCTAGACAGAGAATTCTCAGTAACTTCTTTGTGCTGTGTGTATTCAACTCACAGAGTGGAACGTCCCTTTGCACAGAGCAGATTTGAAACACTCTTTTTGTGGAGTTTGCAAGTGGAGATTTCAAGCGATTTGATGCCAACAGTAGAAAAGGAAATATCTTCAAATAAAAACTAGACAGAATCATTCTCAGAAACTACTTTGTGATGTGTGCCTTCAACTCACAGAGTTTAACCTTTCTTTTCTTAGAGCAGTTTAGAAACACTCTGCTTGTTATGTCTGCAAGTGGATATTTGGACCTCTTTGAGGCCTTCGTTGCAAACGGGGTTTCTTCCTTTCATGCTAGACTAAGAAGAGTTCTCAGTAACTTTTTTGTGTTGTGTGTATTCAACTCACAGAGTTGAACCTTGCTTTAGAGAGAGCAGATTTGAAACACTCTTGCTGTGGCATTTTCAGGTGGAGATTTCAAGCGATTTGAGGACAATTGCAGAAAAGGAAATATCTTCGTATAATAACCAGACAGAATCATTCTCAGAAAGTGCTTTGTGATGTGTGCGTTCAACTCACAGAGTTTAACCTTTCTTTTCATAGAGGAGTTTGGAAACACACTGTTTGTAAAGTCTGCAATTGGATATATGGAGCTGTTTGAGGCCTTCGTTGGAAACGGGATTTCTTCATTGAATGCTAGACGGAAGAATTCTCAGTAAATTCTTTGTGTTGTGTGCATTCAACTCACAGAGTGGAACGTCCCTTTAGACAGAGCAGATTTGAAACACTCTTTTTGCGGAATTTGCAAGTGGAGATTTCTAGCCATTTGATGCCAACAGTAGAAAGGGAAATATCTTCAAATAAAAACCAGACAGAATCATTCTCAGAAAATTCTTTGTGATGTGTGCGTTCAACTCACATAGTTTAACCTTTCTTTTCATAGAGCAGTTTGGAAACACTCTGTTTGTAAAGTCTGCAAGTGGATATATGGACCGCATTGAGGCCTTCGTTGGAAACGGGATTTCTTCATTTCATGCTAGACAGAAGAATTCTCAGTAACTTCTTTGTGCTGTGTGTATTCAACTCACAGAGTGGAACGTCCCTTTGCACAGAGCGGATTTGAAACACTCTTTTTGTGGAGATTGCAAGTGGAGATTTCAAGCGATTTGATGCCAACAGTAGAAAAGGAAGTATCTTCAAATAAAAACTAGACAGAATCATTCTCAGAAACTACTTTGTGATGTGTGCCTTCAACTCTCAGAGTTTAACCTTTCTTTTCTTAGAGCAGTTTAGAAACACTCTGCTTGTTATGTCTGCAAGTGGATATTTGGACCTCTTTGAGGCCTTCGTTGCAAACGGGGTTTCTTCCTTTCATGCTAGACTAAGAAGAGTTCTCAGTAACTTTTTTGTGTTGTGTGTATTCAACTCACAGAGTTGAACCTTGCTTTAGAGAGAGCAGATTTGAAACACTCTTGCTGTGGCATTTTCAGGTGGAGATTTCAAGCGATTTGAGGACAATTACAGAAAAGGAAATATCTTCGTATAACAACCAGACAGAATCATTCTCAGAAAGTGCTTTGTGATGTGTGCGTTCCACTCACAGAGTTTAACCTTTCTTTTCATAGAGGAGTTTGGAAACACACTGTTTGTAAACTCTGCAAGTGGATATATGGACCTGTTTGAGGCCTTCGTTGGAAACGGGATTTCTTCATTGAATGCTAGAGGGAAGAATTCTCAGTAAATTCTTTGTGTTGTGTGCATTCAACTCACAGAGTGGAACGTCCCTTTAGACAGAGCAGATTTGAAACACTCTTTTTGCGGAATTTGCAAGTGGAGATTTCTAGCCATTTGATGCCAACAGTAGAAAGGGAAATATCTTCAAATAAAAACCAGACAGAATCATTCTCAGAAAATTCTTTGTGATGTGTGCGTTCAACTCACATAGTTTAACCTTTCTTTTCATAGAGCAGTTTGGAAACACTCTGTTTGTAAAGTCTGCAAGTGGATATATGGACCGCATTGAGGCCTTCGTTGGAAACGGGATTTCTTCATTTCATGCTAGACAGAAGAATTCTCAGTAACTTCTTTGTGCTGTGTGTATTCAACTCACAGAGTGGAACGTCCCTTTACACAGAGCAGATTTGAAACACTCTTTTTGTGGAGTTTGCAAGTGGAGATTTCAAGCGATTTGATGCCAACAGTAGAAAAGGAAATATCTTCAAATAAAAACTAGACAGAATCATTCTCAGAAACTACTTTGTGATGTGTGCCTTCAACTCACAGAGTTTAACCTTTCTTTTCTTAGAGCAGTTTAGAAACACTCTGCTTGTTATGTCTGCAAGTGGATATTTGGACCTCTTTGAGGCCTTCGTTGCAAACGGGGTTTCTTCCTTTCATGCTAGACTAAGAAGAGTTCTCAGTAACTTTTTTGTGTTGTGTGTATTCAACTCACAGAGTTGAACCTTGCTTTAGAGAGAGCAGATTTGAAACACTCTTGCTGTGGCATTTTCAGGTGGAGATTTCAAGCGTTTTGAGGACAATTGCAGAAAAGGAAATATCTTCGTATAATAACCAGACAGAATCATTCTCAGAAAGTGCTTTGTGATGTGTGCGTTCAACTCACAGAGTTTAACTTTTCTTTCCATAGAGGAGTTTGGAAACACACTGTTTGTAAAGTCTGCAAGTGGATATATGGACCTGTTTGAGGCCTTCGTTGGAAACGGGATTTCTTCATTGAATGCTAGACGGAAGAATTCTCAGTAAATTCTTTGTGTTGTGTGCATTCAACTCACAGAGTGGAACGTCCCTTTAGACAGAGCAGATTTGAAACACTCTTTTTGCGGAATTTGCAAGTGGAGATTTCTAGCCATTTGATGCCAACAGTAGAAAGGGAAATATCTTCAAATAAAAACCAGACAGAATCATTCTCAGAAAATTCTTTGTGATGTGTGCGTTCAACTCACATAGTTTAACCTTTCTTTTCATAGAGCAGTTTGGAAACACTCTGTTTGTAAAGTCTGCAAGTGGATATATGGACCGCATTGAGGCCTTCGTTGGAAACGGGATTTCTTCATTTCATGCTAGACAGAAGAATTCTCAGTAACTTCTTTGTGCTGTGTGTATTCAACTCACAGAGTGGAACGTCCCTTTACACAGAGAAGATTTGAAACACTCTTTTTGTGGAGTTTGCAAGTGGAGATTTCAAGCGATTTGATGCCAACAGTAGAAAAGGAAATATCTTCAAATAAAAACTAGACAGAATCATTCTCAGAAACTACTTTGTGATGTGTGCCTTCAACTCACAGAGTTTAACCTTTCTTTTCTTAGAGCAGTTTAGAAACACTCTGCTTGTTATGTCTGCAAGTGGATATTTGGACCTCTTTGAGGCCTTCGTTGCAAACGGGGTTTCTTCCTTTCATGCTAGACTAAGAAGAGTTCTCAGTAACTTTTTTGTGTTGTGTGTATTCAACTCACAGAGTTGAACCTTGCTTTAGAGAGAGCAGATTTGAAACACTCTTGCTGTGGCATTTTCAGGTGGAGATTTCAAGCGTTTTGAGGACAATTGCAGAAAAGGAAATATCTTCGTATAATAACCAGACAGAATCATTCTCAGAAAGTGCTTTGTGATGTGTGCGTTCCACTCACAGAGTTTAACCTTTCTTTTCATAGAGGAGTTTGGAAACACACTGTTTGTAAAGTCTGCAAGTGGATATATGGACCTGTTTGAGGCCTTGGTTGGAAACGGGATTTCTTCATTGAATGCTAGACGGAAGAATTCTCAGTAAATTCTTTGTGTTGTGTGCATTCAACTCACAGAGTGGAACGTCCCTTTAGACAGAGCAGATTTGAAACACTCTTTTTGCGGAATTTGCAAGTGGAGATTTCTAGCCATTTGATGCCAACAGTAGAAAGGGAAATATCTTCAAATAAAAACCAGGCAGAATCATTCTCAGAAAATTCTTTGTGATGTGTGCATTCAACTCACATAGTTTAACCTTTCTTTTCATAGAGCAGTTTGGAAACACTCTGTTTGTAAAGTCTGCAAGTGGATATATGGACCGCATTGAGGCCTTCGTTGGAAACGGGATTTCTTCATTTCATGCTAGACAGAAGAATTCTCAGTAACTTCTTTGTGCTGTGTGTATTCAACTCACAGAGTGGAACGTCCCTTTACACAGAGCAGATTTGAAACACTCTTTTTGTGGAGTTTGCAAGTGGAGATTTCAAGCGATTTGATGCCAACAGTAGAAAAGGAAATATCTTCAAATAAAAACTAGACAGAATCATTCTGAGAAACTACTTTGTGATGTGTGCCTTCAACTCACAGAGTTTAACCTTTCTTTTCTTAGAGCAGTTTAGAAACACTCTGCTTGTTATGTCTGCAAGTGGATATTTGGACCTCTTTGAGGCCTTCGTTGCAAACGGGGTTTCTTCCTTTCATGCTAGACTAAGAAGAGTTCTCAGTAACTTTTTTGTGTTGTGTGTATTCAACTCACAGAGTAGAACCTTGCTTTAGAGAGAGCAGATTTGAAACACTCTTGCTGTGGCATTTTCAGGTGGAGATTTCAAGCGATTTGAGGACAATTGCAGAAAAGGAAATATCTTCGTATAACAACCAGACAGAATCATTCTCAGAAAGTGCTTTGTGATGTGTGCGTTCAACTCACAGAGTTTAACCTTTCTTTTCATAGAGGAGTTTGGAAACACACTGTTTGTAAAGTCTGCAAGTGGATATATGGACCTGTTTGAGGCCTTCGTTGGAAACGGGATTTCTTCATTGAATGCTAGACGGAAGAATTCTCAGTAAATTCTTTGTGTTGTGTGCATTCAACTCACAGAGTGGAACGTCCCTTTAGACAGAGCAGATTTGAAACACTCTTTTTGCGGAATTTGCAAGTGGAGATTTCTAGCCATTTGATGCCAACAGTAGAAAGGGAAATATCTTCAAATAAAAACCAGACAGAATCATTCTCAGAAAATTCTTTGTGATGTGTGCGTTCAACTCACATAGTTTAACCTTTCTTTTCATAGAGCAGTTTGGAAACACTCTGTTTGTAAAGTCTGCAAGTGGATATATGGACCGCATTGAGGCCTTCGTTGGAAACGGGATTTCTTCATTTCATGCGAGACAGAAGAATTCTCAGTAACTTCTTTGTGCTGTGTGTATTCAACTCACAGAGTGGAACGTCCCTTTGCACAGAGCAGATTTGAAACACTCTTTTTGTGGAATTTGCAAGTGGAGATTTCAAGCGATTTGATGCCAACAGTAGAAAAGGAAATATCTTCAAATAAAAACTAGACAGAATCATTCTCAGAAACTACTTTGTGATGTGTGCCTTCAACTCACAGAGTTTAACCTTTCTTTTCTTAGAGCAGTTTAGAAACACTCTGCTTGTTATGTCTGCAAGTGGATATTTGGACCTCTTTGAGGCCTTCGTTGCAAACGGGGTTTCTTCCTTTCATGCTAGACTAAGAAGAGTTCTCAGTAACTTTTTTGTGTTGTGTGTATTCAACTCACAGAGTTCAACCTTGCTTTAGAGAGAGCAGATTTGAAACACTCTTGCTGTGGCATTTTCAGGTGGAGATTTCAAGCGATTTGAGGACAATTGCAGAAAAGGAAATATCTTCGTATAATAACCAGACAGAATCATTCTCAGAAAGTGCTTTGTGATGTGTGCGTTCAACTCACAGAGTTTAACCTTTCTTTTCATAGAGGAGTTTGGAAACACACTGTTTGTAATGTCTGCAATTGGATATATGGACCTGTTTGAGGCCTTCGTTGGAAACGGGATTTCTTCATTGAATGCTAGACGGAAGAATTCTCAGTAAATACTTTGTGTTGTGTGCATTCAACTGACAGAGTGGAACGTCCCTTTAGACAGAGCAGATTTGAAACACTCTTTTTGCGGAATTTGCAAGTGGAGATTTCTACCCATTTGATGCCAACAGTAGAAAGGGAAATATCTTCAAATAAAAACCAGACAGAATCATTCTCAGAAAATTCTTTGTGATGTGTGCGTTCAACTCACATAGTTTAACCTTTCTTTTCATAGAGCAGTTTGGAAACACTCTGTTTGTAAAGTCTGCAAGTGGATCTATGGACCGCATTGAGGCCTTCGTTGGAAACGGGATTTCTTCATTTCATGCTAGACAGAAGAATTCTCAGTAACTTCTTTGTGCTGTGTGTATTCAACTCACAGAGTGGAACGTCCCTTTACACAGAGCAGATTTGAAACACTCTTTTTGTGGAGTTTGCAAGTGGAGATTTCAAGCGATTTGATGCCAACAGTAGAAAATGAAATATCTTCAAATAAAAACTAGACAGAATCATTCTCAGAAACTACTTTGTGATGTGTGCCTTCAACTCACAGAGTTTAACCTTTCTTTTCTTAGAGCAGTTTAGAAACACTCTGCTTGTTATGTCTGCAAGTGGATATTTGGACCTCTTTGAGGCCTTCGTTGCAAAAGGGGTTTCTTCCTTTAATGCTAGACTAAGAAGAGTTCTCAGTAAGTTTTTTGTGTTGTGTGTATTCAACTCACAGAGTTGAACCTTGCTTTAGAGAGAGCAGATTTGAAACACTCTCGCTGTGGAATTTTCAGGTGGAGATTTCAAGCGATTTGAGGACAATTGCAGAAAAGGAAATATCTTCGTATAATAACCAGACAGAATCATTCTCAGAAAGTGCTTTGTGATGTGTGCGTTCAACTCACAGAGTTTAACCTTTCTTTTCATAGAGGAGTTTGGAAACACACTGTTTGTAAAGTCTGCAATTGGATATATGGACCTGTTTGAGGCCTTCGTTGGAAACGGGATTTCTTCATTGCATGCTAGACGGAAGAATTCTCAGTAAATTCTTTGTGTTGTGTGCATTCAACTGACAGAGTGGAACGTCCCTTTAGACAGAGCAGATTTGAAACACTCTTTTTGCGGAATTTGCAAGTGGAGATTTCTAGCCATTTGATGCCAACAGTAGAAAGGGAAACATCTTCAAATAAAAACCAGACAGAATCATTCTCAGAAAATTCTTTGTGATGTGTGCGTTCAACTCACATAGTTTAACCTTTCTTTTCATAGAGCAGTTTGGAAACACTCTGTTTGTAAAGTCTGCAAGTGGATATATGGACCGCATTGAGGCCTTCGTTGGAAACGGGATTTCTTCATTTCATGCTAGACAGAAGAATTCTCAGTAACTTCTTTGTGCTGTGTGTATTCAACTCACAGCAGTGGAACGTCCCTTTGCACAGAGCAGATTTGAAACACTCTTTTTGTGGAGTTTGCAAGTGGAGATTTCAAGCGATTTGATGCCAACAATAGAAAAGGAAATATCTTCAAATAAAAACTAGACAGAATCATTCTCAGAAACTACTTTGTGATGTGTGCCTTCAACTCACAGAGTTTAACCTTTCTTTTCTTAGAGCAGTTTAGAAACACTCTCCTTGTTATGTCTGCAAGTGGATATTTGGACCTCTTTGAGGCCTTCGTTGCAAACGGGGTTTCTTCCTTTCACGCTAGACTAAGAAGAGTTCTCAGTAACTTTTTTGTGTTGTGTGTATTCAACTCACAGAGTTGAACCTTGCTTTAGAGAGAGCAGATTTGAAACACTCTTGCTGTGGCATTTTCAGGTGGAGATATCAAGCGATTTGAGGACAATTGCAGAAAAGGAAATATCTTCGTATAATAACCAGACAGAATCATTCACAGAAAGTGCTTTGTGATGTGTGCGTTCAACTCACAGAGTTTAACCTTTCTTTTCATAGAGGAGTTTGGAAACACACTGTTTGTAACGTCTGCAAGTGGATATATGGACCTGTTTGAGGCCTTCGTTGGAAACGGGATTTCTTCATTGAATGCTAGACGGAAGAATTCTCAGTAAATTCTTTGTGTTGTGTGCATTCAACTCACACAGTGGAACGTCCCTTTAGACAGAGCAGATTTGAAACACTCTTTTTGCGGAAGTTGCAAGTGGAGATTTCTAGCCATTTGATGCCAACAGTAGAAAGGGAAATATCTTCAAATAAAAACTAGACAGAATCATTCTCAGAAAGTGCTTTGTGATGTGTGCGTTCAACTCACAGAGTTTAACCTTTCTTTTCATAGAGGAGTTTGGAAACACACTGTTTGTAAAGTCTGCAATTGGATATATGGACCTGTTTGAGGCCTTCGTTGGAAACGGGTTTTCTTCATTGAATGCTAGACGGAAGAATTCTCAGTAAATTCTTTGTGTTGTGTGCATTCAACTGACAGAGTGGAACGTCCCTTTAGACAGAGCAGATTTGAAACACTCTTTTTGCGGAATTTGCAAGTGGAGATTTCTAGCCATTTGATGCCAACAGTAGAAAGGGAAATATCTTCAAATAAAAACCAGACAGAATCATTCTCAGAAAATTCTTTGTGATGTGTGCGTTCAACTCACATAGTTTAACCTTTCTTTTCATAGAGCAGTTTGGAAACACTCTGTTTGTAAAGTCTGCAAGTGGATCTATGGACCGCATTGAGGCCTTCGTTGGAAACGGGATTTCTTCATTTCATGCTAGACAGAAGAATTCTCAGTAACTTCTTTGTGCTGTGTGTATTCAACTCACAGAGTGGAACGTCCCTTTACACAGAGCAGATTTGAAACACTCTTTTTGTGGAGTTTGCAAGTGGAGATTTCAAGCGATTTGATGCCAACAGTAGAAAAGGAAATATCTTCAAATAAAAACTAGACAGAATCATTCTCAGAAACTACTTTGTGATGTGTGCCTTCAACTCACAGAGTTTAACCTTTCTTTTCTTAGAGCAGTTTAGAAACACTCTGCTTGTTATGTCTGCAAGTGGATATTTGGACCTCTTTGAGGCCTTCGTTGCAAACGGGGTTTCTTCCTTTCATGCTAGACTAAGAAGAGTTCTCAGTAACTTTTTTGTGTTGTGTGTATTCAACTCACAGAGTTGAACCTTGCTTTAGAGAGAGCAGATTTGAAACACTCTTGCTGTGGCATTTTCAGGTGGAGATTTCAAGCGTTTTGAGGACAATTGCAGAAAAGGAAATATCTTCGTATAATAACCAGACAGAATCATTCTCAGAAAGTGCTTTGTGATGTGTGCGTTCCACTCACAGAGTTTAACCTTTCTTTTCATAGAGGAGTTTGGAAACACACTGTTTGTAAAGTCTGCAAGTGGATATATGGACCTGTTTGAGGCCTTCGTTGGAAACGGGATTTCTTCATTGAATGCTAGACGGAGAGTTCTCAGTAACTTTTTTGTGTTGTGTGCATTCAACTCACAGAGTGGAACGTCCCTTTAGACAGAGCAGATTTGAAACACTCTTTTTGCGGAAGTTGCAGGTGGAGATTTCTAGCCATTTGTTGCCAACAGTACAAAGGGAAATATCTTCAAATAAAAACTAGACAGAATCATTCTCAGAAAGTGCTTTGTGATGTGTGCGTTCAACTCACAGAGTTTAACCTTTCTTTTCATAGAGGAGTTTGGAAACACACTGTTTGTAAAGTTTGCAATTGGATATATGGACCTGTTTGAGGCCTTCATTGGAAATGGGATTTCTTCATTGAATGCTAGACGGAAGAAGTCTCAGTAAATTCTTTGTGTTGTGTGCATTCAACTGACAGAGTGGAGCGTCCCTTTAGACAGAGCAGATTTGAAACACTCTTTTTGCGGAATTTGCAAGTGGAGATTTCTAGCCATTTGATGCCAAAAGTAGAAAGGGAAATATCTTCAAATAAAAACCAGACAGAATCATTCTCAGAAAATTCTTTGTGATGTGTGCGTTCAACTCACATAGTTTAACCTTTCTTTTCATAGAGCAGTTTGGAAACACTCTGTTTGTAAAGTCTGCAAGTGGATATATGGACCGCATTGAGGCCTTCGTTGGAAACGGGATTTCTTCATTTCATGCTAGACAGAAGAATTCTCAGTAACTTCTTTGTGCTGTGTGTATTCAACTCACAGAGTGGAACGTTCCTTTACACAGAGCAGATTTGAAACACTCTTTTTGTGGAATTTGCAAGTGGAGATTTCAAGCGATTTGATGCCAACAGTAGAAAAGGAAATATCTTCAAATAAAAACTAGACAGAATCATTCTCAGAAACTACTTTGTGATGTGTGCCTTCAACTCACAGAGTTTAACCTTTCTTTTCTTAGAGCAGTTTAGAAACACTCTGCTTGTTATGTCTGCAAGTGGATATTTGGACCTCTTTGAGGCCTTCGTTGCAAACGGGGTTTCTTCCTTTCATGCTAGACTAAGAAGAGTTCTCAGTAACTTTTTTGTGTTGTGTGTATTCAAATCACAGAGTTGAACCTTGCTTTAGAGAGAGCAGATTTGAAACACTCTTGCTGTGGCATTTTCAGGTGGAGATTTCAAGCGATTTGAGGACAATTGCAGAAAAGGAAATATCTTCGTATAATAACCAGACAGAATCATTCTCAGAAAGTGCTTTGTGATGTGTGCGTTCAACTCACAGAGTTTAACCTTTCTTTTCATAGAGGAGTTTGGAAACACACTGTTTGTAAAGTCTGCAATTGGATATAAGGACCTGTTTGAGGCCTTCGTTGGAAACGGGATTTCTTCATTGAATGCTAGACGGAAGAATTCTCAGTAAATTCTTTGTGTTGTGTGCATTCAACTCACAGAGTGGAACGTCCCTTTAGACAGAGCAGATTTGAAACACTCTTTTTGCGGAATTTGCAAGTGGAGATTTCTAGCCATTTGATGCCAACAGTAGAAAGGGAAATATCTTCAAATAAAAACCAGACAGAAACATTCTCAGAAAATTCTTTGTGATGTGTGCGTTCAACTCACATAGTTTAACCTTTCTTTTCATAGAGCAGTTTGGAAACACTCTGTTTGTAAAGTCTGCAAGTGGATATATGGACCGCATTGAGGCCTTCGTTGGAAACGGGATTTCTTCATTTCATGCTAGACAGAAGAATTCTCAGTAACTTCTTTGTGCTGTGTGTATTCAACTCACAGAGTGGAACGTCCCTTTGCACAGAGCAGATTTGAAACACTCTTTTTGTGGAGTTTGCAAGTGGAGATTTCAAGCGATTTGATGCCAACAGTAGAAAAGGAAATATCTTCAAATAAAAACTAGACAGAATCATTCTCAGAAACTACTTTGTGATGTGTGCCTTCAACTCACAGAGTTTAACCTTTCTTTTCTTAGAGCAGTTTAGAAACACTCTGCTTGTTATGTCTGCAAGTGGATATTTGGACCTCTTTGAGGCCTTCGTTGCAAACGGGGTTTCTTCCTTTCATGCTAGACTAAGAAGAGTTCTCAGTAACTTTTTTGTGTTGTGTGTATTCAACTCACAGAGTTGAACCTTGCTTTAGAGAGAGCAGATTTGAAACACTCTTGCTGTGGCATTTTCAGGTGGAGATTTCAAGCGATTTGAGGACAATTGCAGAAAAGGAAATATCTTCGTATAATAACCAGACAGAATCATTCTCAGAAAGTGCTTTGTGATGTGTGCGTTCCACTCACAGAGTTTAACCTTTCTTTTCATAGAGGAGTTTGGAAACACACTGTTTGTAAACTCTGCAAGTGGATATATGGACCTGTTTGAGGCCTTCGTTGGAAACGGGATTTCTTCATTGAATGCTAGACGGAAGAATTCTCAGTAAATTCTTTGTGTTGTGTGCATTCAACTGACAGAGTGGAACGTCCCTTTAGACAGAGCAGATTTGAAACACTCTTTTTGCGGAATTTGCAAGTGGAGATTTCTAGCCATTTGATGCCAACAGTAGAAAGGGAAATATCTTCAAATAAAAACCAGACAGAATCATTCTCAGAAAATTCTTTGTGATGTGTGCGTTCAACTCACATAGTTTAACCTTTCTTTTCATAGAGCAGTTTGGAAACACTCTGTTTGTAAAGTCTGCAAGTGGATATATGGACCGCATTGAGGCCTTCGTTGGAAACGGGATTTCTTCATTTCATGCTAGACAGAAGAATTCTCAGTAACTTCTTTGTGCTGTGTGTATTCAACTCACAGAGTGGAACGTCCCTTTACACAGAGCAGATTTGAAACACTCTTTTTGTGGAGTTTGCAAGTGGAGATTTCAAGCGATTTGATGCCAACAGTAGAAAAGGAAATATCTTCAAATAAAAACTAGACAGAATCATTCTCAGAAACTACTTTGTGATGTGTGCCTTCAACTCACAGAGTTTAACCTTTCTTTTCTTAGAGCAGTTTAGAAACACTCTGCTTGTTATGTCTGCAAGTGGATATTTGGACCTCTTTGAGGCCTTCGTTGCAAACGGGGTTTCTTCCTTTCATGCTAGACTAAGAAGAGTTCTCAGTAACTTTTTTGTGTTGTGTGTATTCAACTCACAGAGTTGAACCTTGCTTTAGAGAGAGCAGATTTGAAACACTCTTGCTGTGGCATTTTCAGGTGGAGATTTCAAGCGATTTGAGGACAATTGCAGAAAAGGAAATTCTCGTATAATAACCAGACAGAATCATTCTCAGCAAAGTGCTTTGTGATGTGTGCGTTCAACTCACAGAGTTTAACCTTTCTTTTCATAGAGGAGTTTGGAAACACACTGTTTGTAAAGTCTGCAATTGGATATATGGACCTGTTTGAGGCCTTCGTTGGAAACGGGATTTCTTCATTGCATGCTAGACGGAAGAATTCTCAGTAAATTCTTTGTGTTGTGTGCATTCAACTCACAGAGTGGAACGACCCTTTAGACAGAGCAGATTTGAAACACTCTTTTTGCGGAATTTGCAAGTGGAGATTTCTAGCCATTTGATGCCAACAGTATAAAGGGAAATATCTTCAAATAAAAACTAGACAGAATCATTCTCAGAAAATTCTTTGTGATGTGTGCGTTCAACTCACATAGTTTAACCTTTCTTTTCATAGAGCAGTTTGGAAACACTCTGTTTGTAAAGTCTGCAAGTGGATATATGGACCGCATTGAGGCCTTCGTTGGAAACGGGATTTCTTCATTTCATGCTAGACAGAAGAATTCTCAGTAACTTCTTTGTGCTGTGTGTATTCAACTCACAGAGTTGAACCTTGCTTTAGAGAGAGCAGATTTGAAACACTCTTGCTGTGGCATTTTCAGGTGGAGATTTCAAGCGATTTGAGGACAATTGCAGAAAAGGAAATATCTTCAAATAATAACCAGACAGAATCATTCTCAGAAAGTGCTTTGTGATGTGTGCGTTCCACTCACAGAGTTTAACCTTTCTTTTCATAGAGGAGTTTGGAAACACACTGTTTGTAAAGTCTGCAAGTGGATATATGGACCTGTTTGAGGCCTTCGTTGGAAACGGGATTTCTTCATTGAATGCTAGACGGAAGAATTCTCAGTAAATTCTTTGTGTTGTGTGCATTCAACTGACAGAGTGGAACGTCCCTTTAGACAGAGCAGATTTGAAACACCCTTTTTGCGGAATTTGCAAGTGGAGATTTCTAGCCATTTGATGCCAACAGTAGAAAGGGAAATATCTTCAAATAAAAACCAGACAGAATCATTCTCAGAAAATTCTTTGTGATGTGTGCGTTCAACTCACATAGTTTAACCTTTCTTTTCATAGAGCAGTTTGGAAACACTCTGTTTGTAAAGTCTGCAAGTGGATATATGGACCGCATTGAGGCCTTCGTTGGAAACGGGATTTCTTCATTTCATGCTAGACAGAAGAATTCTCAGTAACTTCTTTGTGCTGTGTGTATTCAACTCACAGAGTGGAACGTCCCTTTACACAGAGCAGATTTGAAACACTCTTTTTGTGGAGTTTGCAAGTGGAGATTTCAAGCGATTTGATGCCAACAGTAGAAAAGGAAATATCTTCAAATAAAAACTAGACAGAATCATTCTCAGAAACTACTTTGTGATGTGTGCCTTCAACTCACAGAGTTTAACCTTTCTTTTCTTAGAGCAGTTTAGAAACACTCTGCTTGTTATGTCTGCAAGTGGATATTTGGACCTCTTTGAGGCCTTCGTTGCAAACGGGGTTTCTTCCTTTAATGCTAGACTAAGAAGAGTTCTCAGTAACTTTTTTGTGTTGTGTGTATTCAACTCACAGAGTTGAACCTTGCTTTAGAGAGAGCAGATTTGAAACACTCTTGCTGTGGCATTTTCAGGTGGAGATTTCAAGCGATTTGAGGACAATTGCAGAAAAGGAAATATCTTCGTATAATAACCAGACAGAATCATTCTCAGAAAGTGCTTTGTGATGTGTGCGTTCAACTCACAGAGTTTAACTTTTCTTTCCATAGAGGAGTTTGGAAACACACTGTTTGTAAAGTCTGCAAGTGGATATATGGACCTGTTTGAGGCCTTCGTTGGAAACGGGATTTCTTCATTGAATGCTAGACGGAAGAATTCTCAGTAAATTCTTTGTGTTGTGTGCATTCAACTCACAGAGTGGAACGTCCCTTTAGACAGAGCAGATTTGAAACACTCTTTTTGCGGAATTTGCAAGTGGAGATTTCTAGCCATTTGATGCCAACAGTAGAAAGGGAAATATCTTCAAATAAAAACCAGACAGAATCATTCTCAGAAAATTCTTTGTGATGTGTGCGTTCAACTCACATAGTTTAACCTTTCTTTTCATAGAGCAGTTTGGAAACACTCTGTTTGTAAAGTCTGCAAGTGGATATATGGACCGCATTGAGGCCTTCGTTGGAAACGGGATTTCTTCATTTCATGCTAGACAGAAGAATTCTCAGTAACTTCTTTGTGCTGTGTGTATTCAACTCACAGAGTGGAACGTTCCTTTACACAGAGCAGATTTGAAACACTCTTTTTGTGGAATTTGCAAGTGGAGATTTCAAGCGATTTGATGCCAACAGTAGAAAAGGAAATATCTTCAAATAAAAACTAGACAGAATCATTCTCAGAAACTACTTTGTGATGTGTGCCTTCAACTCACAGAGTTTAACCTTTCTTTTCTTAGAGCAGTTTAGAAACACTCTGCTTGTTATGTCTGCAAGTGGATATTTGGACCTCTTTGAGGCCTTCGTTGCAAACGGGGTTTCTTCCTTTCATGCTAGACTAAGAAGAGTTCTCAGTAACTTTTTTGTGTTGTGTGTATTCAACTCACAGAGTTGAACCTTGCTTTAGAGAGAGCAGATTTGAAACACTCTTGCTGTGGCATTTTCAGGTGGAGATTTCAAGCGATTTGAGGACAATTGCAGAAAAGGAAATATCTTCGTATAATAACCAGACAGAATCATTCTCAGAAAGTGCTTTGTGATGTGTGCGTTCAACTCACAGAGTTTAACCTTTCTTTTCATAGAGGAGTTTGGAAACACACTGTTTGTAAAGTCTGCAATTGGATATATGGACCTGTTTGAGGCCTTCGTTGGAAACGGGATTTCTTCATTGAATGCTAGACGGAAGAATTCTCAGTAAATTCTTTGTGTTGTGTGCATTCAACTCACAGAGTGGAACGTCCCTTTAGACAGAGCAGATTTGAAACACTCTTTTTGCGGAATTTGCAAGTGCAGATTTCTAGCCATTTGATGCCAACAGTAGAAAGGGAAATATCTTCAAATAAAAACCAGACAGAAATCATTCTCAGAAAATTCTTTGTGATGTGTGCGTTCAACTCACATAGTTTAACCTTTCTTTTCATGGAGCAGTTTGGAAACACTCTGTTTGTAAAGTCTGCAAGTGGATATATGGACCGCATTGAGGCCTTCGTTGGAAACGGGATTTCTTCATTTCATGCTAGACAGAAGAATTCTCAGTAACTTCTTTGTGCTGTGTGTATTCAACTCACAGAGTGGAACGTCCCTTTACACAGAGCAGATTTGAAACACTCTTTTTGTGGAGTTTGCAAGTGGAGATTTCAAGCGATTTGATGCCAACAGTAGAAAAGGAAATATCTTCAAATAAAAACTAGACAGAATCATTCTCAGAAACTACTTTGTGATGTGTGCCTTCAACTCACAGAGTTTAACCTTTCTTTTCTTAGAGCAGTTTAGAAACACTCTGCTTGTTATGTCTGCAAGTGGATATTTGGACCTCTTTGAGGCCTTCGTTGCAAACGGGGTTTCTTCTTTCATGCTAGACTAAGAAGAGTTCTCAGTAACTTTTTTGTGTTGTGTGTATTCAACTCACAGAGTTGAACCTTGCTTTAGAGAGAGCAGATTTGAAACACTCTTGCTGTGACATTTTCAGGTGGAGATTTCAAGCGATTTGAGGACAATTGCAGAAAAGGAAATATCTTCGTATAATAACCAGAAAGAATCATTCTCAGAAAGTGCTTTGTGATGTGTGCGTTCAACTCACAGAGTTTAACCTTTCTTTTCATAGAGGAGTTTGGAAACACACTGTTTGTAAAGTCTACAAGTGGATATATGGACGTGTTTGAGGCCTTCGTTGGAAACGGGATTTCTTCATTGAATGCTAGACGGAAGAATTCTCAGTAAACTCTTTGTGTTGTGTGCATTCAACTAACCGAGTGGAACGTCCCTTTAGACAGAGCAGATTTGAAACACTCTTTTTGCGAAATTTGGAAGTGGAGATTTCAAGCCATTTGATGCCAACAATAGAAAGGGCAATATCTTCAAATAAAAACTAGACAGAATCATTCTCAGAAAATTCTTTGTGATGTGTGCGTTCAACTCACATAGTTTAACCTTTCTTTTCATAGAGCAGTTTGGAAACACTCTGTTTGTAAAGTCTGCAAGTAGATATATGGACCGCTTTGAGGCCTTCGTTGGAAACGGGTTTTCTTCATTTCATGCTAGACAGAAGAATTCTCAGTAACTTCTTTGTGCTGTGTGTATTCAACTCACAGAGTGGAACGTCTCTTTACACAGAGCAGATTTGAAACACTCTTTTTGTGGAGTTTGCAAGTGGAGATTTCAAGCGATTTGATGCCAACAGTAGAAAATGAAATATCTTCAAATAAAAACTAGACAGAATCATTCTCAGAAACTACTTTGTGATGTGTGCCTTCAACTCACAGAGTTTAACCTTTCTTTTCTTAGAGCAGTTTAGAAACACTCTGCTTGTTATGTCTGCAAGTGGATATTTGGACCTCTTTGAGGCCTTCGTTGCAAACGGGGTTTCTTCCTTTAATGCTAGACTAAGAAGAGTTCTCAGTAACTTTTTTGTGTTGTGTGTATTCAACTCACAGAGTTGAACCTTGCTTTAGAGAGAGCAGATTTGAAACACTCTTGCTGTGGCATTTTCAGGTGGAGATTTCAAGCGATTTGAGGACAATTGCAGAAAAGGAAATATCTTCGTATAACAACCAGACAGAATCATTCTCAGAAAGTGCTTTGTGATGTGTGCGTTCAACTCACAGAGTTTAACCTTTCTTTTCATAGAGGAGTTTGGAAACACACTGTTTGTAAAGTCTGCAATTGGATATATGGACCTGTTTGAGGCCTTCGTTGGAAACGGGATTTCTTCATTGCATGCTAGACGGAAGAATTCTCAGTAAATTCTTTGTGTTGTGTGCATTCAACTCACAGAGTGGAACGTCCCTTTAGACAGAGCAGATTTGAAACACTCTTTTTGCGGAATTTGCAAGTGGAGATTTCTAGCCATTTGATGCCAACAGTAGAAAGGGAAATATCTTCAAATAAAAACCAGACAGAATCATTCTCAGAAAATTCTTTGTGATGTGTGCATTCAACTCACATAGTTTAACCTTTCTTTTCATAGAGCAGTTTGGAAACACTCTGTTTGTAAAGTCTGCAAGTGGATATATGGACCAGCATTGAGGCCTTCGTTGGAAACGGGATTTCTTCATTTCATGCTAGACAGAAGAATTCTCAGTAACTTCTTGGTGCTGTGTGTATTCAACTCACAGAGTGGAACGTCCCTTTGCACAGAGCAGATTTGAAACACTCTTTTTGTGCAATTTGCAAGTGGAGATTTCAAGCGATTTGATGCCAACAGTAGAAAAGGAAATATCTTCAAATAAAAACTAGACAGAATCATTCTCAGAAACTACTTTGTGATGTGTGCCTTCAACTCACAGAGTTTAACCTTTCTTTTCTTAGAGCACTTTAGAAACACTCTGCTTGTTATGTCTGCAAGTGGATATTTGGACCTCTTTGAGGCCTTCGTTGCAAACGGGGTTTCTTCCTTTCATGCTAGACTAAGAAGAGTTCTCAGTAACTTTTTTGTGTTGTGTGTATTCAACTCACAGAGTTGAACCTTGCTTTAGAGAGAGCAGATTTGAAACACTCTTGCTGTGGCATTTTCAGGTGGAGATTTCAAGCGATTTGAGGACAATTGCAGAAAAGGAAATATCTTCGTATAATAACCAGACAGAATCATTCTCAGAAAGTGCTTTGTGATGTGTGCGTTCAACTCACAGAGTTTAATCTTTCTTTTCATAGAGGAGTGTGGAAACACACTGTTTGTAAAGTCTGCAAGTGGATATATGGACCTGTTTGAGGCCTTCGTTGGAAACGGGATTTCTTCATTGAATGCTAGACGGAAGAATTCTCAGTAAATTCTTTGTGTTGTGTGCATTCAACTCACAGAGTGGAACGTCCCTTTAGACAGAGCAGATTTGAAACACTCTTTTTGCGGAATTTGCAAGTGGAGATTTCTAGCCATTTGATGCCAACAGTAGAAAGGGAAATATCTTCAAATGAAAACCAGACAGAATCATTCTCAGAAAATTCTTTGTGATGTGTGCGTTCAACTCACATAGTTTAACCTTTCTTTTCATAGAGCAGTTTGGAAACACTCTGTTTGTAAAGTCTGCAAGTGGATATATGGACCGCATTGAGGCCTTCGTTGGAAACGGGATTTCTTCATTTCATGCTAGACAGAAGAATTCTCAGTAACTTCTTTGTGCTGTGTGTATTCAACTCACAGAGTGGAACGTCCCTTTACACAGAGCAGATTTGAAACACTCTTTTTGTGGAGTTTGCAAGTGGAGATTTCAAGCGATTTGATGCCAACAGTAGAAAAGGAAATATCTTCAAATAAAAACTAGACAGAATCATTCTCAGAAACTACTTTGTGATGTGTGCCTTCAACTCACAGAGTTTAACCTTTCTTTTCTTAGAGCAGTTTAGAAACACTCTGCTTGTTATGTCTGCAAGTGGATATTTGGACCTCTTTGAGGCCTTCGTTGCAAACGGGGTTTCTTCCTTTAATGCTAGACTAAGAAGACTTCTCAGTAACTTTTTTGTGTTGTGTGCATTCAACTCACAGAGTGGAACGTCCCTTTAGACAGAGCAGATTTGAAACACTCTTTTTGCGGAAGTTGCAAGTGGAGATTTCTAGCCATTTGATGCCAACAGTACAAAGGGAAATATCTTCAAATAAAAACTAGACAGAATCATTCTCAGAAAGTGCTTTGTGATGTGTGCGTTCAACTCACAGAGTTTAACCTTTCTTTTCATAGAGGAGTTTGGAAACACACTGTTTGTAAAGTCTGCAATTGGATATATGGACCTGTTTGAGGCCTTCATTGGAAACGGGATTTCTTCATTGAATGCTAGACGGAAGAAGTCTCAGTAAATTCTTTGTGTTGTGTGCATGCAACTGACAGAGTGGAGCGTCCCTTTAGACAGAGCAGATTTGAAACACTCTTTTTGCGGAATTTGCAAGTGGAGATTTCTAGCCATTTGATGCCAAAAGTAGAAAGGGAAATATCTTCAAATAAAAACCAGACAGAATCATTCTCAGAAAATTCTTTGTGATGTGTGCGTTCAACTCACATAGTTTAACCTTTCTTTTCATAGAGCAGTTTGGAAACACTCTGTTTGTAAAGTCTGCAAGTGGATATATGGACCGCATTGAGGCCTTCGTTGGAAACGGGATTTCTTCATTTCATGCTAGACAGAAGAATTCTCAGTAACTTCTTTGTGCTGTGTGTATTCAACTCACAGAGTGGAACCGTCCCTTTACACAGAGCAGATTTGAAACACTCTTTTTGTGGAATTTGCAAGTGGAGATTTCAAGCGATTTGATGCCAACAGTAGAAAAGGAAATATCTTCAAATAAAAACTAGACAGAATCATTCTCAGAAACTACTTTGTGATGTGTGCCTTCAACTCACAGAGTTTAACCTTTCTTTTCTTAGAGCAGTTTAGAAACACTCTGCTTGTTATGTCTGCAAGTGGATATTTGGACCTCTTTGAGGCCTTCGTTGCAAACGGGGTTTCTTCCTTTCATGCTAGACTAAGAAGAGTTCTCAGTAACTTTTTTGTGTTGTGTGTATTCAACTCACAGAGTTGAACCTTGCTTTAGAGAGAGCAGATTTGAAACACTCTTGCTGTGGCATTTTCAGGTGGAGATTTCAAGCGTTTTGAGGACAATTGCAGAAAAGGAAATATCTTCGTATAATAACCAGACAGAATCATTCTCAGAAAGTGCGTTGTGATGTGTGCGTTCAACTCACAGAGTTTAACCTTTCTTTTCATAGAGGAGCTTCGAAACACACTGTTTGTAATGTCTGCAATTGGATATATGGACCTGTTTGAGGCCTCCGTTGGAAACGGGATTTCTTCATTGAATGCTAGACGGAAGAATTCTCAGTAAATTCTTTGTGTTGTGTGCATTCAACTCACAGAGTGGAACGTCCCTTTAGACAGAGCAGATTTGAAACACTCTTTTTGCGGAATTTGCAAGTGGAGATTTCTAGCCATTTGATGCCAACAGTAGAAAGGGAAATATCTTCAAATAAAAACCAGACAGAATCATTCTCAGAAAATTCTTTGTGATGTGTGCGTTCAACTCACATAGTTTAACCTTTCTTTTCATAGAGCAGTTTGGAAACACTCTGTTTGTAAAGTCTGCAAGTGGATATATGGACCGCATTGAGGCCTTCGTTGGAAACGGGATTTCTTCATTTCATGCTAGACAGAAGAATTCTCAGTAACTTCTTTGTGCTGTGTGTATTCAACTCACAGAGTGGAACGTCCCTTTGCACAGAGCAGATTTGAAACACTCTTTTTGTGGAATTTGCAAGTGGAGATTTCAAGCGATTTGATGCCAACAGTAGAAAAGGAAATATCTTCAAATAAAAACTAGACAGAATCATTCTCACAAACTACTTTGTGATGTGTGCCTTCAACTCACAGAGTTTAACCTTTCTTTTCTTAGAGCAGTTTAGAAACACTCTGCTTGTTATGTCTGCAAGTGGATATTTGGACCTCTTTGAGGCCTTCGTTGCAAACGGGGTTTCTTCCTTTAATGCTAGACTAAGAAGAGTTCTCAGTAACTTTTTTGTGTTGTGTGTATTCAACTCACAGAGTTGAACCTTGCTTTAGAGAGAGCAGATTTGAAACACTCTTGCTGTGGCATTTTCAGGTGGAGATTTCAAGCGTTTTGAGGACAATTGCAGAAAAGGAAATATCTTCGTATAATAACCAGACAGAATCATTCTCAGAAAGTGCTTTGTGATGTGTGCGTTCAACTCAGAGTTTAACCTTTCTTTTCATAGAGGAGTTTGGAAACACACTGTTTGTAAAGTCTGCAATTGGATATATGGACCTGTTTGAGGCCTTCGTTGGAAACGGGATTTCTTCATTGAATGCTAGACGGAAGAATTCTCAGTAAATTCTTTGTGTTGTGTGCATTCAACTCACAGAGTGGAACGTCCCTTTAGACAGAGCAGATTTGAAACACTCTTTTTGCGGAATTTGCAAGTGGAGATTTCTAGCCATTTGATGCCAACAGTAGAAAGGGAAATATCTTCAAATAAAAACCAGACAGAATCATTCTCAGAAAATTCTTTGTGATGTGTGCGTTCAACTCACATAGTTTAACCTTTCTTTTCATAGAGCAGTTTGGAAACACTCTGTTTGTAAAGTCTGCAAGTGGATATATGGACCGCATTGAGGCCTTCGTTGGAAACGGGATTTCTTCATTTCATGCTAGACAGAAGAATTCTCAGTAACTTCTTTGTGCTGTGTGTATTCAACTCACAGAGTGGAACGTCCCTTTACACAGAGCAGATTTGAAACACTCTTTTTGTGGAGTTTGCAAGTGGAGATTTCAAGCGATTTGATGCCAACAGTAGAAAAGGAAATATCTTCAAATAAAAACTAGACAGAATCATTCTCAGAAACTACTTTGTGATGTGTGCCTTCAACTCACAGAGTTTAACCTTTCTTTTCTTAGAGCAGTTTAGAAACACTCTGCTTGTTATGTCTGCAAGTGGATATTTGGACCTCTTTGAGGCCTTCGTTGCAAACGGGGTTTCTTCCTTTCATGCTAGACTAAGAAGAGTTCTCAG